>NC_000001.11:232547757-232699273 GCF_000001405.40 Homo sapiens | reverse complement strand
TGCCCATCAACACTCCTCTGACAAGCATTATAAACAATAGAACAAATTCTGAGAGAAAACCTCCTTTGGTCATAATTTTAACATGGCTAGGTTTTTTGTTTTGTTTTGTTTTGTTTTTGTTTTTGTTTTTACGGAGCCTTGCCCTGTTGCCCAGGCTGGAGTGCAATGGCATGATCTCAGCTCACCACAACTTCTGCCTCCCGGGTTCAAGCGATTCTTCTGCCTCAGCCTCCCGAGTAGCTGGGATTATAGGCACATGCCACCATGCCTGGCTAATTTTTAGAAGAGATGGGGTTTCACCATGTTGGCCAGGCTGGTCTCGAACTCCTGACCTTGTGATCTGCCCGCCTCAGCCTCCCAAAGTTCTGAGATTACAGGCGTGAGCCACCACGCCTGGCTTGATTTTTTTATTTTTAGTACAGATGGTGTTTCACCATGTTGGTCAGGCTGGTCTCGATCTCCTGACCTCGTGATCCACCCGCTTCAGCCTCCCAAAGTGCTGGAATTACAGGCGTGAGCCACTGCACCCGGCTGGCTAGCTCTTTTATGTTGTTGTTTTTCCAGCTCAGGTTTGGTGATGTAATGGAACCTTAAAATCTGACCAGTTTGGGGCCGGGCGCGGTGGCTCACGCCTGTAATCCCAGCACTTTGGGAGGCCGAGGAGGGCGGATCATGAGGTCAGGAGATCGAAACCATCCTGGCTAACATGGTGAAACCCTGTTTTTACTAAAAATACAAAAAATTAGCTGGGCGTGGTGGTAGGTGCCTGTAGTCCCAGCTACTCGGGAGTTCTGAGGCAGGAGAATGGTGTGAACCCCGGAGGTGGAGCTTACAGTGAGCCGAGATCACGCCACTGAACTCCAGCTTGGGCGACAGAGCGAGACTCCATCTCAGAAAACAAAAAAAGTCTGACCATTTTGAAGTTTCAATCCTCTGAGGTAACATGGTTATCATGGTTGGTGTCTGGGTGTATCTGTCTCTCAATCATCTTCATGACATTTTCATCCATTTTTCACTTGACAGATAAATTGGGGCTGAAAGTGATGTTCTTTATTTTTTTTCAAGTTAGAGAAAATATGCTCCCATGTGAGTCGATTCTCTTTCTAATTTGAAACTCCAAGCTAGACACCTTCCAAAGGTGAAGATGTGACAGAGGGTGATCACTGGGATTCCATCCATTTCCTGCTGCCTCACTTTTAGAAAAGCGGGAAGGAGGCTGATCCTCATTTAGTGCCTACAGCACTCAGGCACTATGCATATTATTTAGAGTAGCTTCCAATGCAATCTCCTGAAAGATTGGTTCTTAACTTTTCCTTAGGTCGCAAACTTCTTTGAGAACGTGTTGAAAACCACTGAGCCTCTCTTCAGAAATCAACACACAAAAGTTTGCATTCAACGTAAGGATGTTTGCAGGGGTCATGAACCCCAGCTGGGCTCCCTTCGGATGCATTTCTGCCTGTTCTAGAGAGATGTCATGTGGCAGAGAAACAAAATGTAAGGAAATCACACAATTTAAAAACCCGAGTCCCACTTATCAAACACTTGCTAGCTGCAGAATCTGAGCAAGTCACCTGACACTTCTGAGCCCATCTTCTTTTAATACTGAGTAATCTCTCCTGAGCCTGCTCTGTGCTGCATGGTGTGTTAGAAGGTGGAATGCAGCTACAGTGATGCTTAAGACCCACTGCCTGCCCTGAGAAAGCTCACAGGCTAGTACACTAAGGGAGACAGGATAATACACAACTATAGAGGAGAAGCAACCCTCTACCTCTCACCTATACTAACCCCCCCACCTATCCACCCCCCGAGAGCCAGCTTCCAGGACACAGACTGGGTCCCATCTGCCATGGGGTGGGGCTGCAGGTTTTACAAGGTTTCATTTGGGCATGGCTGTCTGATTCCTCCTGTTTCCGTACTTCAGCTGTGGACACACCCAATTCTGCTCTCTCCCTTGGGCTGGCTTGAGAGAAAGGCAGAGCCTGTCCCTCTAGAATGGAGCCTCTGGCTCTCTTTTCTCTTTTTCACAAATGAACAGGCTTTTCATTTGGGGTTCAACACTACATTTACGTTTGGGGATCCACAGAGGCCCCATTTAGGCCCACAGGCTCATCCCAGTGCTGCAGTCCATAAGGAACTTGGCTGAAAATAAAGTGAGCGTTTGGTTTCTCACCCATTATCACTCATTTCATTTGTACATCTCCCTCAGGGAATCAGGCGGGAGGGAGTGTGCTTGGCAGATGAAAGTTCAGGTCTTCCTGAGTCCTCTGATATAGGGGCAATGCCCAAACCCCACACGAACACTTTAGAAAGAGTAGCCAGGACACAATCTGATCAGTGCTCTGGTGGCAACATGGGCTGTGTGCTCTGGAGGCAGAGAGGAGGAGCAACTCAATGTGGGGTAATGATGCCGCCTGGCTGACCTCTCAGCTGTGAAGAGGGCATGAAATGAATTGCACACGGTCGCTTTGCAGATTGTCTGGATGAAAGCAAGATGCTACAGTCATTCGCCAACGTTGACATCAGCCCCTCAGTTTATCTCAAGGGGAATGGGGCTGGCTGGAGTATCTACTCCCTTCCTTTCCTGACTCCCCCTTCCCCAGGCCCACCCCCATCCCCGCCAAGATGATTGTTCTTTAGTCAAGGGGAATGAATATCTATCTTCCAACACAATATGCTTTCCAAACCCTTTGAGCTTGTGCTTCTCTTCTTTCTTTTCCTTTGGGAAATAAGATTCTGGGTCAGAAAGTCTTCTAAATTTAAAGAAATTACTTAGAGAAGAACATCTTCTTTCTCTGCTAAGGCTAAAAGCAAGCCTGAACCCCCATGCTAATGAATCTGCAATGCTAGGGCACATTCAGAAGCTGCCCAGAAGAAGTGGATGGAAAAGATGGTCTGATTTAACTGAGAGTAAATTGTGCTCAAGTGATATGCAATCTCTCCAAGGCAATGTATAACTCAACTGCAAGCTTTCCTCATTTTTTCCCCCTACTTCATCTGCTTTCCTACTTAGATTCTATGGACTAAGTCACACGGCATTGAAGAAAGTCACATTACATCACAAGCGTGGACACACCTTCTCCCCACCTGGGGCAATCTGGCTGTCCCTACTTAGTCCACAGAGATGAAGACACAAACAAGCTCCTCCTCTCTTCTATTTATCTTCAAAATGGCTCCTGTAGATGTCCAAGCCTGTAATTTCTCAAATCTGGGGCCCCATCATTTACATGCTTTGCTTTCAACTCTATAAAGTTTTCCTGTGCCCTAAAGAACAGGAGCCCTGTTTGTTCATGTGCCAGTTTGGAGAGCCAGGACCTAACTGCAAATAATTGAGCACATGTGCAGGAGTCTCAGGAGCCTGTATGTGGAAGTTTGAGCCTCCCCAGCTGAGCTTCCAACTGACTCCCACAGTACCTCTCAGTCTTGCTTCTGGCACGGAAGCCCCAGGCTTGAGATCTAGCTATGTGGCATTGGACCCAGCCCAAAGCTATAGCCCAGGGTGGAAGAGAAACAGCTCGATGTTTTCATCTCGTATTGCAAAACAAGACAAAGCCTTCTATCCTTTTACAATGAGATAAGAAGACTAGAATTTATACCAGTTTGCAAGTTAATTGTCCAGAATGTAAAGAGATGCAATCTGCATAATTAATTTGCATTTCTGATGGCAGAACAGAAATTCAGTGACTACCAGTGTAACTTAGGAGAGTAAGAATTATCTCATATGAAAAATGATTAGGCTTAGCTAAGACCTGATGACAAGCCGAGACCCTACCTCTGTTACATTAACATAGTATTTATTCAATCATTCAATCATAATCTTAGCACCTACTTGTATATGCCAAGCTGGGCACAAGATACTAAACAAGAGATAATTCCTGCCCTCGTGAAATTCAGTCTAGTGCAAGGTATAGACAGGTGAATAGAAATCAAAGTATAGTGTAACGAAAGTTGAATGTTGGCCAGTTAACAAAAGAACAGCAATTTTTAGCCATAGCAAATGACATAATCTTTTTTTCAAAATATAAGGAACTAAGGCTGGGTGCGGTGGCTCATGCCTGTAATCCCAGCACTTTGTGAGGCTGAGGCGGGCAGATCACGAGGTCAAGAGATCGAGACCATCCTAGCCAACATGGTGAAACCCTGTCTCTACTAAAAAACACAAAAATTAGCTGGGCGTGGTGGCATGGGTCTGTAATCCCAACTACTCGGGAGGCTGAAGCAGGAGAATCACTTGAACCTGGGAGGCAGAAGTTGCAGTGAGCCAAGATCATGCCACTGCACTCCAGCCTGGCAGCAGAGCGAGAATCTGTCTCAAAAAAAAAAGAAAAAAAGTAAGGAACTCCAAGGCAAATAATCCATAGACTATCCTTAAACTTCATGAGGTTAAATGTCGATCACTACACACACGTGACTTATGGTTGTCTACTTTTATGAATTATCTATGTATTTATTAAGAAAGTTGTAAAAACAAACAATTTTTAAAAAAACAGATGCCCGAACAGGTTTTGGAGGCTCAGAGTGGCACTCTGTTTTATGCTAGTGAAGCAGGAAACTACCCCTCATCCCTTTGCAGGTGGAAACTGGAGTGTGGGCGTGGGAACTAACCAGGTGCTCTGGTGCTGGCGGAGGTGAAGTCCACTCACTTGAACCCACTGTGCTCAACCCCCCCACAGGAAGGACCACGCAGGTGAACAGGTACAGGAGCCGAGGTGAGTGCTTTTGGGCGCTGGTAGAAACGAACTCTATACCAGCCCCAAGGCAGCGTCTAGAGGGGTGTCCACGACCCCTTAAGCCCCAGAGGGAGTGTTACAGTCGGTGCTCTTTTAGCTTTGCCATCTGCAGACGGCTTAAGTATTAACAGCTCAGTGGAGGGTCAATGTGACAGCCTTTTGCACCCACACTTGTGGCTCTGAGCTCTTGTCCAGCATCCTTGAAAAACAAAGTTGCATGAATGAGTTGAAGATGGTAAATGTGGGGGATTTTATTGCCAATGAAAGTGGCTCTCAGCGGGATGGGGAGTTGAAAAGGGGACACAGCAGGAAGATAATCTTCCCCCAGAGTCCAGCTGTCCTTGGCTGGACTCCCCTCTGAAGCTGCACCATCAAGCTGTTCCTCTGAAGTCAAGCTGCTTCTCTCCAACGTTCAGCATAGTCTCCAATGTCCAGTTGCTCTTCTCTACTCCCTCTGCCTGGGGTTTTTATGGCCACAGGATGGGGAGCGGGGTGGGTTGGGCCATGGGTGGTTTTGGAAAAGGCAACATTCAGGCAGAAAAACAGGGATGTATGTTCTCACTTTGGGCTGAGGTTCCAGGCTTGAGGGTGGGGCCCTTGCCCGGGACCCGCTCTCTTCTGCCCAGAATTTCCCTGCCTCCTGTCCCTATCACTAGTGACATCATCTCCCTTTTATTCGACATTATCAACAATCCCACCCAATCTAGGCATCATCAGTTAAGGTTCCGTAAGGACATGCTGTAGACTTGTGTGAGGAGTAGCAGAAGTGGAGACATAATTTGAGGAAGCCGACTGCCAAGCAGAGTCATCCAGACACCCCGAGGTGATTTGCATGGTCGTATCTTTGCACTCTTTGCTTTGCGGGGGAACCAGGTGAATGCCTCCCAGGCAAAGTGCTCTCCTCTCTCTCCTAATGGTGCCATGAGCAAAGCTCTGCCTGGGCATCCTCGTGCCTTGAGGATCAGAAATTGAAATCACCGGCAATGTGAACCAAGCCTCCTCAGCCTTCTTTAGCCAGGGGCAGGGCTTCCTTCTGAAGTCCATTTCCCCCCTGTTTTCCTCAAGGCTCCCTGGTCACTGGGTGATGTGGCCATTGCCTCATGTGGACCTTCATATTTTGTCAGACAGAAGATGCTTCTGTGATCTGCAAGCTGTTCTGCAGGTCTTGCTCTCTCTCCTGCATTCTTTTTTTCCCTTCGTTAGGTCACGGTGAAGTGTTTCTGCAGCTCTCTTAAACTTTCTACTAACAAAACACTTTGGCCTCATTTCTATTAGCTTGTCCTTAGGGCACCTCTGTGAGGCATCTCAGTTGTTCCTTATGCAACACAAGCAACCTGCCTCACAACTCAAATCTTGGCTGTAGGGAGATGGCTCTACTAAATGCTAACATGGGGCAAGAGAGAACAAAAAATTGATTTTTTTTCTCTTCAAGGACTTTGAATCTGGTTAAGGACACCAAACATTTATGGATTTAAAAAGAAACAACTTCGTCTCATAAACAAGAAATAGTCTTCTCTGCTTCTAGAGCCCTTTGTCCATGAGGGCATGGTAGCAATATTTTTATTCCATTGGATGTTTGCCCCTTTGTTTTTCTATGAAGATGGGCCCCATGAGGGTAGACGCACATCTTTTCAACTTCTCATTCCCAGTGCTGTGAAAGAAAATAGAATCTCGGGACCCCACACTCACCATGCCAAAGGGAAAGTTAAGGTTGGGAACCGAGTCACAAATCCTGCCTTCCTTTTGTTCTGGAGCAGATAGCTGTAATTTCACAACCCCATATCATAGCCTCATTTCCTCTACTCCCTCTTTTCTCATGTCTATAATACTTAATCTTAAACGAAATGTAGATTTACTGAGCATGAGACCAGGCATCATTGACTTTTTCATCTACACTCTCATTTCACATGTAAAATGTAGTTTACTAAGGCTCATCAGAGCCTCACTAGAATGTAACACCTACCTCACTGCCTACCCTCTTTTTTCCCCTCCTGCTTCCTCTTTCCTCTTTAAATACAGAAGTTCCTAAACCCTTTGGAAAAATCACAGGTCACATATGTCCCTGCAACTGGTGTTTTTTCCCAGGCATGTCCTCGACCTTGACAAAATAAACCTCTATGGATTGACACCTGCCTCAATCACTTTTTGGTTGACAATGCCCATCATGGTGCCTCTTACATGGGTATTCTATAAGTATTTGTTGGATGCTAAATTTGTTGAGAGGTAAAGTGGCTGAATCAACTTCTTCACATTGACTGCCCTTGGGCAGAAATAGTTTTCACCCAGATACTTAACTGTTCAGAAATCGGTTGCACACTGTTGATGAGAAACAGAAGCTTGGGATGTTCATGTCAGCCAACATTTCCTCATTCTCCAGGAAGTATCACTTGAATGAGGTTCAAGGTAGCAGAATGGCAAGGACAGTTCTATTCAGTAACCATTAGGTGGCATATATAATATATTGTGTGCGTGTGTATTTATAGACATATATACAGATTTATATTTATGTGTATATATATATTTATTGATTCACACATTTACACATGTATAATTTGATTTCAGGAAACACCGAGACAACCCCTACTAAAAATATATGTTCCTATTACATCCCCCTAGTCAAGGGATGAATGTGGCAGAAGGGGCTTATGAGGAAAAGAAGGGCTCATATAATGTGTTAGGAAGTGGGTGTTCAGAAGCAGGAATGTCAATCTAGGAAAGGGGACCAGGGATGAAGGGATTCCAGGGTAGAGCGCAGTGATGAGAGTTGCTAGTAATCCTGTATATTTAGAAGACCTGGGAAGAAGAGGGTCTGAGAGGCTTACCCATGGGCAGGTGAGAGGGATTGGGGCCTGCAGTCATTCACCACTCGCTGCAGCTGCGGGGTGAGAACTGCTGATCCCCATCCAGGCGGAGCTTCTGGCAGAAAGTGTGCAGAGTCATCAGGTGCACATGCTTGGGATTTGAAACATCTCGATTCAAATTCTAGCTCTGTCATCAGTCAACTTGGGAAAAAAATATTTCACTTCTCTCAGGGCTTTTTCTTCATTTCTAAAATGAAGCTGCTATTCAACCTGGTAAGTTGTTGAGGAAATTAAATAAATAACAGAAAACTCAATATGGTGCCTGCCACATAGAAAGAAAGTAATATATGGCAACTCTTACTAAAAGTTATTTTTGGGTGGGCATGGTAGCGCACGCCTGTATTCTTATCACTTTAGGAAGCCAAGGTGGGAGGACCGCTTGAAGTCAGGAGTTCAGGATCAGCCTGGGCAACATGGCAAGACCCTGATCTCTAAAAAAAATTAAAAATAGCAAGGCATGATGGCTCATCCCTATAATCCCAGCTACTTGGGAGGCTGAGGCAGGAAGATCACTAGAGCCCAGGAGGTCGAGGCTGTAGTGAACTGTGATCACACCACTGCACTCCAGCCTGGGCAATAGAGAGAAACCCTGATTCAAAAAAAGAAAGAAAGAAAGAAAGAAAAAAAGAAAGAAAGAAAGAAAGAAAGAAAGAAAGAAAGAAAGAAAGAAAGAAAGGGAGGGAGGGAGGGAGGGAGGGAGGGAAGGAAGGAAGGAAGGAAGGAAGAGAAAAGAGAAGAAAGAAAAGAAAAGAAAAGAAGCCAATATTGCAGGGAGAGGCAGGTCATCTGAAGATGGCTGGGTTCTCATGGTAAACTGCTGGGATGGGACTAGACTTTGACCAGACAAGAAATTACAGGAGACATTTTATCCTTATTAGTATTCAAAGACTTCTGGGAAGGAAAACATTGTCAACATCATTACACAGTTATGCCTTGGTTAGAAATAACTTTTTCTGAAAGCTGGTTTTGATTAAGAAAGGGAGAAGTGAGAAAGGACATGGACAACTGACTGCGGGGAGAGAGATTGTGGGAGGAATTTCTGAGTTACAAGACATAGAAGGGTTGTCCGAGAAAAGCATGCTGAAAAGAAAGTCTTTTTGCTTTCCCACTTTGCTGCTGAGTAGACGGGGGCCGGCCCTCCTTTGGTAGCTGAGTGTGACTTCCTCACCTTCCCCACCCCATTCTGCCCTGAGTGGAAGTGACCAAAATGCGCCATTTCCTGCGGCAGGGCGTGCTACATCAATTCCTCATCGGGTAGTTAAATCCTACCTCCTCTTTGTTTTTCTAATACCCAGATGTTATTCAGAACTTCTGTTCTCCTCAATTCTCTTTTCCCATGTTGGAATTAGGACTGAACAGATGGATTTAAGCCAACTTGATTCTGTCAATTTGGGAGTCAAATCTCGCGAGTTTTTTTAAGAGACTGTGGTGAAAGAAAACCCAAAATACTCAAAAGAGCATTATTCTCAGGATACTTCTGATTTATCTGGAGCCAGAAAATTAAAGCCATTTATAAAAGGCAGATTTCTGCGGAAAAAAAACAATTTTATCTTCCTCTTACCTGAAAGCCAGATTGTATTTAGAATGTGCAAATTGGAAGCAGATTGAATAAGTGCTGCTGCTCAGGGTTTGGGCCGTTTTAATTTGAAAAAAAAAAAAAAAAGCCAAACTTGAACCAATCGATTTGTCTGCTCTTGGGAGCTTATCTGTCATGAGCTATTATCTTATACTGTAGTAATAAACACGCCTTGCCTACTGAAGAGAGGTGTGGAGTTCCATAAACTTCTAAGAGGATATTCTCAAGGGCAACAGTTGCCAACATATGTCCTAAGAGGAACTAGTTCCCTGGGATGGTAATGCACTATGTGTGCTAACCAAGCTTGGAAAATACCAGATTATACAAAATAAACTCAATTTCTTTTCCTCAGGAATGTTCAGCCTTCAATATAAACCTAATATACATATTTAATATCCATTCACTGAGATTTTTCTAGAGTGAAGAGTCAATATTCAGCATTTTCCAAACTAATTCGACAATAGAGTCCTGTTCTCTGAGAATGGTTTTGAGAGACTCGCGTTCCATGGACCAGATGTTGAGAAATACTGCACAAAAGTCATTAGTCTACTGATGGTTAGTATGTGGTTAGCTATTTAAAATAATAACACATTTGCTGGCATTCTAGATTCTTGAGCCTTTTACCACCTGAGAGACAAAAGCTCACCACTATTTGTAGCAAAATTAATCACCACTTTTTGGAGCTAATTGACTATTAAATTGGCATAATTCATACATGGAAGATACATGAAATGCATATATAAAATATCACTCGTTTTGTTCTGTGGATGAGGTGAGTAGAACCTGGCAATTATCAACTGAGCAGATTTTCCTTTGTAGAAGATTCTAGCCTGCAGAGACGTATGGTGGACAACTTGAAATCAACCAAGATAATAATTTCCTTTATATTGATTAACATTCATTTCCATCCAGAGAGATGTGCAGGGGAATATATATTCCTGCCTGAAGAGAGGAGTGCAGAGTTCTGTGAGCTTCCATGTTGATAGTCAGTAGGGTGATACTGCCTGAAGATTTAAAGATTCTCAGATCACCATTATATATTGGGAAACAATGAACACACACACAAACACACACACACACACAAACACACACACACACACACACACACACACACTGCTCCAGTCTGTTAAAAGATGAGAAAAGTAAAACCTAAATATGCTTGCCGTTAGAGTAGCAAGAGCTGGGATTTTAAACTCAGTACTTCCGACTCTCATTCCAAATGAAAATAGAGTTTTTGCAGATACCCATATTACAAAACGTTAGAAACTTTTTAAAAATGAGAAAATCCAAGTATATTTCTCAATCTCCTGCTCAGAGATTCCTCTGCTCGATCTCCATGGTCATTTTCCAAGAAAGCCTTCAGATCCCAGGCATAGTAAAGGCTGCTAGAAAGAAAAAAAGCAAATAAAACTCTCCCCTCAAAGAGACTCAAATCTAGGGTAAATTTTAAGGAGCCAATTATACTGTTTGCACAGGGATAAATTATGTAATAGAAACATAAACAAACTGCTGAGATGGAAAAGCAAGATTCGGTTATGCATAGAAGCTGAATTTGTCTTTGAAAGATGGATAGAATTTTAAGATATGAAAGAAGAGAATGTTGGTTTACCAGTTGCCCAAAAGGGCATAGTAAGTCAGAAAATGAGGTGTGCTGGCATTTAGTAACAGGTCATTACTGGTGACTAACAAAACCAGCCTGAGAGGCAAAGAGGACTCTGTGTCAATTCCAAGACATCTACATGGAAGTAAGAGCTAGTGAGAGAGGTAACGAACTTCAAGTAATGAGACTGAATCCCAAATTACAAACTGCTCAGGAAAAACAAAGCATAGGAGATAAATATGTAGGGAGGAAGTTGAGTGGATAAGGAGAGAGGGCAGCCGGACCCAATTCTGATGGATGATTTGGGGTTTCTGGTTTGGTCTTGATTTTCAGAAACTGGCTGGATTTCCTCCTCTCTCTGTAAGGCAGCTTAAAAACATACTGGGGAAGTGACAGAGCCAAGGAATAATGAGCAAAGGCACAGAGGTGAGAAAGTGCCAAAGGCCTGGAAGCAGCTGGGGTGTTCAGGAATCAATGAGTGACATGCAGTTCCCCCTCGGTATCCATGGGGATTGGACCTGCGATCCCCCGAGGATATTAGAATCCACAGACACTCAAGTCCCTTATGTAAAATGATGCAGTATTTGCATGTAACCTACACGCATCCTCCCATAAACTTTAAATCATCTCTAGATTAGTTATAATACCCAGTACAATGTAAATGCTATGTAAATAGTTATTATACTGTGCTGTTTAGGGAATGATGACAAGAAAAATGCCTAAGAGTCCGTGTATGCTTAGCATCCTTTTTTATTTCCAATTTTTTTTTTTTTGCCTTTCTTTCTTTTTTGTAGACACAGGGTCTTGCTATGTCACCAGGGCTGGTCTTGAACTCTGAGCCTCAAGTGATCCTCCTGCCTCAGCCTCCCAAAGTGCTAGGATTACAGGAGGGAGTACCACACCCAGCCTATTGAATATTTTTAATCTGAGGTTTGCTGAATCCATGGATGAAGAACCCACGGATATTGAACAGAGCTCTAACTGTAGTGGACTCTGCCCTCTTTTGCTCAAGAGAAAATGAAACAAAACAAAACTGGATGTTCATCTAAGAGAAAAGAGTGAAAGTGCAGACCAGAACCCCATCTCTGCTAAGGGAATGACCATCTCAGAGGTCAGATTTCTCCAACTGTGAGTCAATGCTTTCTTCCGAATGAGCCTTGGCCCGAAGAAGCCGTGCAGTGAATGACCTTCACGCATTAACTCGGAGTCTTTTTGGAAAAGTGAATGCCGTTTTTAACCATAAGAAGGGCTGGTCCTGACAGGTTTGAAATTAAGAAGGCCTCATTGTGTGTGAAGGGCTTTGAAGTACCACCCGAAGTTGCTCTTGATCTTTTCTGTTCAAGTAGAAATATACTATGAATTCATCCTGGAATCATAAGCTCCTATTGGCATTTAGTCTGGAAAGAGGGCAGGGAAGAATTCAAAGAATGAATTATAATGAAGGAATGTTAGGCATATGATATCTGGGTAGGGGAGGTCTTACAGAGCTGAGCAACTTTCCTCTGATGGCTCACACCTGTATTCCCAGCCCTTTGGGAGGCCAAGGTGGGAGGACTGCTTGAGGCCAGGAGTTTAATAGCCTGGGCAACATAGTGAAATCCTGTTTCAACAAAAGAGAAAAAACATAACTGGGAGTGATGGCCTCAGGAGTCTGCGGCAGGAGTATCACTTGAGCCCAGGAGTTCAAGCGCTGTGACTGTGCCACTGTATTCCAGCCTGGGCAGCAGAGTGAGACTTTGTCTCAAAAAAAAAAAAAAATGGCCCATGGGCACTATCAGCTTCAGGACAGGTGCTACTCCCCTACAGCACTCAGGGTGTTGATGCCATTCGCACAGGGCTTGGGCATGGGCTCAGAGGAAGGGTAAGCTGGTGGTAGTCAGAGTTGAGCTAATGCTGCCCTTGAGCCATGGCTGCTGCTGCTGAGTTGAGTCACAGCCCTGGAAGGAGTGTGGGGCTTACATGTACTGTCGTCAGAACCAGCTTCTGCCCAGCACTGCATTCTCAGTCAGCCCTGGCTCTGGGACAGGTGGTCCCCAGGGAAGCCTGAAACATCGGGACTGCAGTTCTCTCTTTGTTCTGAATTAGTTCAGATGCATTTTACTGAGTGTGTGTTTCAGGGGTGTTGGAATATCATCAGCAAGCCTACCAGGGAGGGTGCAGACGGGCTCCACCAGGCTTCCTAAGGAAGGAAGTCAGGACTGGAAGAGAACATGGGCCCCAAGAGTCGGCACTCAACTTGCCAGCCAAGAGAAGTATTCCGTATCTCTGGGGTCAGCTTTTCCTGAGGGTTTGTACTCTATTTAGAAATGTGTTTTAGTCATGTCCCAACCGAGAGATATGATCATCAAAAAGCCTTGCAGTCTGGCCATCTGGACACTTGGTTTCTTTGGGGTTTTTTAATAAAGGAAGGACAGAAAAGTCAGCATGTGGCTGGGACATCTGGCTGCCACCATAGAGTCTGGGAAAAGACAGGCAATGATGACTAGCTGTCCCCTGCAACTAGAGTCACATCTCTGCAAAGGAAAAGCTTTCTCTTCTTGAAAGTATCATGTCCAAAGCCGTTTCTCAAGTGAGTTGAGTTCTTCTTGAAATGTCACGTACAAAGCCGTTTCTCAAGTGAGTTGAGTTCTTCTTTATGAATGCCCACCAGACATTCATCAGAATAGTGTCCAGCATTGGGAACCCGAGCTCTTATGTTCCCATTGGAGTGCTTCAGTGGTGCGCTGATGACCTCATGTAGAGGTCTGATGAGAAGCTATTGCACTCAAATCCACCTATTGATTCCAGTTCATGGAACTGACCGAGGCCTTATAAGCTCCTTGCCACCAGCACGACAGGGAGCCCTCCCTCGGAGGGAGCCATGGAAATCCTATAGAGGGCTTACTTCTCTGGCACGGGTGTAATCAATTTCTTCATTCACTCACTTAACACATATTTAGCAAGCACCTATTGTGTGCCAGGCACTGTTCTGGGTGGCAGGAAGCCAAAAATAAGTAGATCCTAGTCTGTACAAACTTTTAAAAGAGAGAAAGCCCTTTATAATGGGAAAGGTATTTGATCATCCAAACCAGGGCTGGATTTGGAATATAGGAAATTGTGGAATTGATTCACTCTGTTACCAGGATAAACAATATGTTTTGCACCCCAGTATTTTCTTTTTTCAGAATGAGGGGAGTGGACAAGACAGCACTCTTCAGGGAGGCAGTTGTCAAGGCTGGGCTTTGCCTCTAGAATTCCCTCAAGATAAATTGCCAACACCTGGAGCGACAATGACCATGGGCCTGTAGCTGACTGTCATCTCAGCTGCCCGCCCTTTCTACACAGAGTGAAGGAGAAAGACTGGATTCCCAGCAGGCCTGAGACACATGAAGGACCAGCTACTTAGGACATGAAAGAAGAATGCCAGTATTTATGGAGCACCTTCTATGGAGCAGAGCCCGTCCACCTACTCCTTCAGGGTGTTACTTGCTTCATCTTTAAAGATGAGGAAACTGAGGCTCAGAGAGGCTAAGCAGCCTGATAGAAAAGGGCAGAGCCAGGAGTCAGATTCAGGCCTATGAGGCTCCAGAGCTCAGGATGACCTCAAATACCACAAGTGAATACATGAATGAATGAGTCATGGAAGAATGGAAGACTGCTTTTGACGGTGGTGCAGCTGATGCTGCTAGGGTCTAGTAATGTATTTAGTCTAGATTGGGCACAATTCATGGGCATTAGAACTGCAGGTGGGAGAAGCAGATGAAGCTTGGTCTTTATGTGCTCAGTGCATCCTGTTGGTTTTGCCTTTCTGCAGAAATGAGTGGAAGCTGAAGACTGAGTGGCAGTGGACGGGAGAGGGACAGAGCCAGGCTCTGGGAAGGTCAGCTGGCAGCACTGAGACTGAGGGAATGGGAGGGACTGAAGAGAAATTTTCTGAAGTTAGCAAAGAGGTTGTAAAGGAGGAAGGAGTGCAAAAGGAATGGGCAACTAATGCTAGAAATATTGCAGGAAAATTCATAAGACTTCCTGACTGAGTGTGTAGGAAATGTAAGTAGAGGAAGGGATCACAGCTGGCTCTGTAGTTATTTATTTGAGCTTATGCTTATTAGTGTTGGCTATGAGCCAGAACTTACTTAGCTTGTCCTATCTGGTCTTCTCAATAACCCCATGAGATATATTCTATTATCATCATCTCCTCTTAATAGATGAGAATGCAAAGAGGCACATAGAGATCATATAAGATTTCTCAGTATGAGGGACATCTCCACCTGGATAGCTTCACCTCAAACTCAACATTTTATAAACTAAATCAACCATTGCTGCCCCCAATTTGCTCCTCCTTTTAGCTTCCCTGTTTTAATCAGTGCCATAATCATTCTTAGTGGCTCAGGGCCAAAGCTTGGAAGAAATATGTCATGTTTATTCATTCATTATATGTGCTTCCTACAAGCTAGGCACTGTGCAAGATGCTGGGATTACAGGTAGACAATATTGGTCCTGGCCCTTAAGGTGCTTAGAGTATGCTGAGGGCCAACACAGAAGAATGGCTGGGTCCCACTGTAGAAGAGAAGCAGGACGTCTCCAAATATGGCAAGCTGCTGTCTTCACATTTCTGCTCAATCTCAGTTATGTAATAAATATGCTTTAAAACATTGTCTCAGCATTCTCCACCTGACCAGCTCCACTCTTAATTCCAACTCACAAAGCTAATACCACTAGAAATTTCTGCAAAAAACCTATAGATTTAAAAAAAAAATTCTGAGCAGCTCAGTTTCCTGTAAGAGTTTTCCTAGCAGAGCCACAAAATTGATAAATAAGGATCCTGGGCTCTATCTAATGCCTTTATTGCTCTTATGCTTCTGGGAGGTATTCATTTATTTTCCACTATGTCCTGGCTATTTCCGAAAATGTTAAAAGCATATTAAAATGGCACGTGTAGGATCAGCTCTGAGTGATGGAGTAGGGAGAATGGGATTCTCAGAAATCTAGAACTAAGAGGAGACTACTAGCCATAAAACTTATCCCTAAATTCCCTGACAGCCTAGAGAAAAAAAGAAAACAGAAGCTTTTATTGTAAAAGTGGAAGCAAAATTTAGCGTTAGTAGAAGCACATCTCTTTCCAGCTCTGATCCTTAGAGTGCTCTATGCCTCGCCTTCCCCACTGGCTTTCTCACTGTGTGAAACAGGTCTGTTCCTATGCTATCCCCTACCAGGCGGGGAGCCTCTTGAGAACAAGGACTGTGTCTTAGTCAGTTTTTCTCCAGATGTTGGCCTGTAACAGACATTTGATAAATATTCTTTAGTGCAGAACTGAACCAATGTCTGTATAAAGGTAAGAGGAAGGAAGGAAGGGAGGGAGGGAGGGAGGGAGGGAGGGAGGGAGACAGAGAGAGAGAGTTACCAATATACAAAGCAACTTTTTTTTTTTTTTTTTTTTTTTTTTGAGACAGGATCTCCCTCTGTCACCCAGGCTGGAGTGCGGTGGCATGATCATGGCTCACTGCAGCCTCCACCTCTCAGGCTCAAGTGATCCTCCCACCTCAGCCTCCCAAATAGCTGGGACTACAACCTCAAGCCACAGAGAGAAAATTACCAATATCCAAAGCAGCTTTTTTTTTTTTGAGACAGGATCTCCCTCTGTCACCCAGGCTGGAGTGCGGTGGCATGATCATGGCTCACTGCAGCCTCCACCTCTCAGGCTCAAGTGATCCTCCCACCTCAGCCTCCCAAGTAGCTGGGACTACAGGCTCATGCCACCACACCAGGCTAATTTTTGTATTTTTGGAGAGACAGGGTCTTGCCATGTTGCCATGTTGCCCAGGCTGGTCTCGAACTCCTGAGCTCAAGCAATATGCCCGCCTCAGCCTCCCAAAGTGCTGGGATTACAGATGTGTGCCACTGCACCCAGCCCAAAGCATTTTTCAGATGGAAACTCATAAAAACTTCTCTGACAACTCCATCCAGAATTAATTCTCTACCTCCTTCTATGTTATCTTGGTGTGTGTGTGTTTTTTTTAACCTTTGATTATAGCACATCGTGGTCTGATCACAGTGCCTTATCTCCTCTTGCTGCAGCCCTAGTGCCTGTGGTTAGATAAGCACTGGCCCGGCCTGTGTTTACCACCTACAGCACCGCTGCGATTTATCAACCTGGGGTCAGAGTCTGACTTCATTAAGGGCAGTCAAAAGAAGGTACCATAGGTTTTTGTGTCCATTCCACATGAGGAGTTTCAAAGTATGTTTTGAAGAAGGTCCACATTTGGGGATTAATTGGAGACCTCCTTGAAGTGACTCTTCTAGGAGACCCCATATTTATCAGATATACGAGTTTTTGGTGTTTGTCTGAAAATAAAGAAGTCTTTGTACCTAAGGTTCTTTTTTTTTTGAGACGGAGTCTTGCTCTGTCGCCCAGGCTGGAGTGCAGTGGCACGATCTCGGCTCACTGCAAGCTCTGCCTCCCGGGTTCAAGCCATTCTGCTGCCTCAGCCTCCCGAGTAGCTGGGACTACAGGTGCCTGCCACAATGCCCAGCTAATTTTTTGTATTTTTAGTAGAGACGGGGTATCACCATGTTAGCCAGGATGGTCTCCATCTCCTGACCTTGTGATCCACCCGCCTTGGCCTCCCAAAGTGCTGGGATTACAGGCGTGAGCCACCGCGCCCAGCCCCTAAGGTTCTTATTGTCTTTAGTCTCCATCCAACTGAAAGCATGATGGGGATGAAAACCCTGGCTTTTCTGTCCCAGCAGGGACACTGTGTATGACTGGCCCCTCCATCCTGTCTCCTCTCCACTCCCCAGAAAATTCCAAGGTGCTCAGGCTTTCTCCAGCTTCGCCTGTCAAAGCCACTCCAAAGGAAGGGGGACCTGTACTGGCCACATATACACTGAGGTTTCAAGTGACTCACCTACCTCAATGGGCTCCCCTTCCCTTGCGCAGGGGGTAAGGGGAAGACCACCCTAGAATCTTTGTTTCTACTTTCATCAGAGGTAGGAATTATTTTTAGGCAAGGCCAGATGAAAAGGTGGGCTGGCTGGGCAGCTCCCTTGGGGCAAATTTGAACAAGGCATAAACTATCACTGAGATAAATTCAAATTATGGTGCTTGTTAACTTCAGCTTCCATACACAGCTTCTTTCACAGCTGGTGAAATATAAGTTGATCATTTTTCATTGAAGTTGGACAGAGCCTTAGGAAAGAAACATTTTTAAACAGACTTTCCCCGAGCTACCATGACTACTAAGAATTTTGAGATGAACACGGGGTAAATGCAATTAGCTGAAGTTCAGCAGTTCACTGAAGTCCAGAGACCATGTAACACATGGCATAGCTAGAAGGAAGAAGTGATGTATTTTGTTATCTGTGTGTTCAAATCATTCAATGTGCCTCCCAAGGAGTACTCCAGATCAAAAGAAATCTGAGAATAGATTTCCAGAAAAGTGAGAGAAGTCTTGCCAACTGTTTTAAGATTGTTGATTCAGTTTTGGTCAGTGCTGATTACTAAACTAACATGTTTCTACGTAAAATTTGTACTCAGAGAAAATCAGTTTCTGTCTCTCATTAATATTATTGAACATGAAGTTTCAAATGTCAGGCTCCAAAACCACGTGTCCTAACTAGAGTCTCGGTACATTTTCATGCCCTAATTCACAGCTATAGGCCAGGACTATGCACACACGGGCAAGCTGAAGACACCACCTGTGACATGACTGCAGAACTCCATTTGTCTTGTGATACCATTCCTGTGTCCCATTTAAAGCCTGTGGCCTGCTTGTTCCGATATCCATGAACCTGCCTCCTCCCAGCAGTGGGTGCTTGCTGTGAATCAGTCGCTCTTACCTCTAACACCTCCAACAGCATGCTGTCACTCCCTTGTATGCAGATCTGCCTATTTTTACCAGTCTATAAGCTCCTTAACTAAGTACAAGGACCACTTATTACTTTTATTTCATTTTCTAAGAGCTAACACAATGCTAAACACATAGTCGACAATAAATACATGTCTGTTGAATTAAAAAGCTAGTAGATGAATTAATTATATAGATTTGACTTGTTGCCTGCTTACACTTGTAACATCCACCAAACCCACCTACATGTTAGTACTTCCAGTTCTGGCTCCAACACTCTCTCTGCCTTGTCTTGCCTTATTGCGTCTACACCCTGTATGAATAAACAACAGTCTTCAACCAAAGGAAGTGGTGGCATTTCAATCATCACGTCAAAGGTGGGGAAGGTTTGAATGGAATGGGAAATGAGGAAGGGAGGAAAAGCAAGGAAAACCTTCCACAGGGCCCTTAACGTGCCTCCTGTACCTACTGTTTTCTCTGCCTTGAATGCATTTTATTCTTCCTCCTATTACTCCCCATCCTGGCAAAAACAAAAATAAATACTAACCAAACCAAAAAGAAAACTATTACCGTCCTTCAAAGCTTTCACCAAAGGACACAAAACCTTCCGTGATGACCCCAGCCAAATTAGTTACTAACCACCTTCCTCGGCAATCTTAGTATCTTTTTTGAGCCTTTGGTTGTAACATCTCCTGGCACTTACTCCGGGGTCTTAGTTGTTCGTGTTCATTTCTCAGCTCCATAGCTAGATTGCAGCTCACCCGAAAATGAGTTTTTCTTTTCATCTTTTTATTCCCTTAAGTGCCTAGCACAGTTGGTGTTCCATAAATATTTATTGTATTAAAGTGAAGAATGCTACAAAGTTACCATTAGAAAGGAGGCATAAGTTCTGGTGATCTATTATTGTACAGTAGGAAGCCGTGGGTTACAAAAGAGCTAGAAGAGAGGCTTTTGAATGTTCTTACTACGAATAAATGATAAATGCATGAGGTGATGGATATTTGGTCATTATTTAACATATATATATGTATGGAAACATCACGTTGTACCCCATAAATATGTACAATTAAAATGTGTCAATAAAAATAAAAATAAACAATAAAATACAAAATGGAAGGATAGCAAGGCCTTCCAGAGTGAAGACTTTGGAAGGACAATGCTGAATTGAACCTGAGTTGCGTGGCCTTTGTTTAAATCTATCCTCATCTGTACAACCGTGGGTGCTATTACCATATTGCTGACTTATTAATGCACTTCTAGCTTCTGGTTATCCCACGCCTGTTTCAAAGAGTCTTTAGTATTGTAATGATTTCACATACTGGATTAAATTAACAGAGATATGAAGCCACTTCCTTTAAAACGCCTAAATGAGGCCGGGCGCGGTGGCTCACGCCTGTAATCTCAGCACTTTGAGAGGCCGAGGCGGACGGATCACGAGGTCTCAGGAGATTGACCATCCTGGCTAACATGGTGAAACCCTGTCCGTACTAAAAATACAAGAATTTACCCAGCCTGGTGGCACGGGCCTGTAGTCCCAGCTACTCGGGAGGCTGTGGCAGGAGTATCGCTTGAACCCGGGAGGCAGAAGCTGCAGTGAGTTGAGATTGCACCATTGCACTCCAGCCTGGGTGACGGAGCGAGACTTTGTCCCCCCAAAAAAGAAAAAAAAAAAGACTAAATGAGAGGCTGGCAGAACCGGAAACCCAGGGCCCCTGACTCTGAGCTCTCTGAGCTCCCCATCTCTAACCCAGCCTCTAACAACTGCAGCCACTACAGCAGCAATAATGCCCTACACTTCTGTGGCACCTTCTTCCCTAGGCTTTCATGGAATTCTATAAGCAGTAATGAATGCGGTTTAGACTGTACACTCCATTGTATACCCTGGCCATCAATTAATTAGTTAATTGCCAAGCTAGGAAGGCATGCTTTGTGTATAATTTTATGAGGGCACGTACCAGGGTGACTCATATTTGCAGGTCTACTCAGAGGTACACACATGCTGTGGCAACAGAAACCATCCCACAGCCAGCAAGGCTTCCAGGGACCTCTGAGGCAGGTGCTGTTTATTATAAACTTCCCACTTTACAGTGGGCGGAATGAATCACCAAAAGGCCGAGGAGCTTTTCCAAGGTGTGAGGAGATTGGTCTCAAACTTTGTTTGAAGGCTGTTCTGTTTGTTCAAATGTGTTTCAAAGTGTTCAGAGGAAAGGGTTCGTCCTCTTCAAACAACCCGTGTTAACAGAAAACTAAACCGTAAAGTCCTACTAGAACTTGACACTGAACACTGACATGGGAGGTGGAGAGGGCAGAGGTTTGAGAGGCCGCCTGTGTCCCAGTTGAGTCTGGTCTGCAGAAAGGAAGCTAGCTGGTGACTCCATGTTCTGAGGAAGTTTTGATTGAGGGGTGTGGACAGTAAGCTCTGAACTTTTTAAAAAAAGATCTTTTGGTTTTGCTTTTAATGGGCAGATAAGTATTAGATATATTAACTGTGTACAACGTGATGTTTTGATATGTGTATACATTGTAAAATGATTACCACAAACCAACTAATTAACCTATCCATCACCTCACACAGTTTTTGTTTTGTTTGGAGATGAGAAAACTTAAGGTCTGCTCTCTTAACAAATTTACAATATGCAATAAAGAACTGTTAACTATGGTCCTGTAATCACCCATTAGCTCCCCAGAATTTATTAATTAATACACTAGATCCCTAGAATTTATTAATCACAACTGAAAGTTTGTACCCTTTGACCAATATCTTATCCCACCCACCCAGCAACTAGCATTCTAATTTTACTCTTGCTTCTGTTAATTGAATTTTTAAATATTTCACACACAAATGAGATCGTGTGGCGTTTGTCTTTCTGTGTCTGGCTTATTTTACTTAGTATAATGCGCTCCAGCTTCATTCATGTTGTGGCAAATGGCAGGATTTCCTTTTTATGGCTGAATAATATTCCTTTATATACACACACCAAAAATTTCTTTATCCATTCATTCATCAACAGACACTCAGGTTGTTAGCATGTCTTTGCTATTGTGAATAATGTTTCAATAAACATGGGAGTATAGATATCTCTTCAAGATACTGATTTCATTTCCTTCAGATACATACCCAGAAGTGGGATTGCTGGATTTAAAAATGGGCAAAGGACTTTAATAGACATTTCTCTAAAGAAAACATACTCACGGCCGACAGGTGCATGAAAAGCTGCTCAGCTTCACTAATCATCAGGAAAATGCAAATATAAACCACAATGAGATATCACCTCACATCTGTTGGGATGGCTATTATCAAAAAGATAAGAGAGAAGAAGTGTTGGTGAGGGTGTGGGCACATGGGAACCTTGCACACTGTTGGTGGGAATGTAAATTGGTACAGCCATTCTGGAACAGTATGTGGGTTCCTCAAAAAATCACAAAGAGAACTGCCATATGATCCTAGTCTGCCTTTAACAGAATGTAAACCAAGAGTGTCTGGTGGGCTCCAGAACTAACTGGCAAGGCCAAGAGGCAAAGCTTTGCCTGCAGGTGCCTTTCAGTGCAGGATTGTGTTAAATGCAGTAAGCACGCTGGGGAAGGCTCTTATGGGCAGGTGGTGCCAATGGGAACCTGGAGTCTTTGGAGTGAAAATCAGGGGTGAGGGTGGGGTGAATGGAAATCTCAGTAGGGCATTTTGCACATTTATGCATTTATCCTGCACTCACATTAGCGGGTACTGCATCAAGATTTTAATGTATTTCATATTGAGTGTTTTAGTGCTAAATATTTAGAGAAACAGTTTACATTTAAAAATGTCATAACATGCAATTACAAATGCCCTAAGATCTTACTGAGTCCTCAGTTATTGTCTCTAGTTCTTGAAGGCCTACTGCCTACAGTCCTTATTCAATTAACTTTATTTTACTTCATTTTTTAACCACACAGAAACTTTCTAAACTCTTTACTCTTCTGGGTCACATTTCTGAACCAAAGGGGGACATCACTATGGTGAAGACAGTGTACTCTATCCTCCTAAGCTCCGTACATCCTATATCTCATGGTATTAATATCTTACCATATCAGAGCATATAAAGTATCAGACTCCTACCCAGGTTGTGGCTACCGTGGTTAGCAGGCCTGGGTTAAGCATCATGATCATCACTAAGAACTTCTTCCATGTTGACCCTGAGCCATCAACCAATGCTTTCTGGAGATGACTGTTGAATATTCAGCCAGCTGTGACTCTACCTAAGAGAACTCATGTGGCTTATGTGTCACCATTTTATCCATAAAAACACCAAGAGGGGCTTAAGTTGGCATGATACATTCTTAGTAAATCTGAGCTGTCATCAATAATTTTATAAATGTTGACAAACCATCTGCCTAATAACCTGTTGTGTCATTTTCCAATATATTTTCATAGTTTGAGCAAGCTTGGCTTCAGGGCTGTAACCAAGAACCCCATTTTCTTTAAAAAAAATGAATTATTTTTTCCTTTTCCCCTGAAGACCGCCTACTTAGCTCTTCAGAAATGTAATGATAACCTTTACCATCTCTCCAGCAGACACTCTTACCTAACTATGTGTTTGCTTAGAAGTTCCAGGGACAACTGAACCTTGAAACACACCAGGCACCTGTGGAACTCTCACCCACCAGGAGATTCCCTCAAAACAACATTCAATTTACAACTCAACCCTGCCCATGATGATGCCAGCCAGACCACTGGATGGATAAGACATCAAAGTAAGTCATGCAGACCCCCACACCCCCTCACCCTGTCCCCTGTGTTCCATTCAGGCTAAGTCCCTTTTCAAAGCCTCTGCTTTCTTCCCCAAAAGCTCGAGCCATTTCCTTAAGGCAGGAGCCTGTACTGTTTCCCCTCAGCTAAGCTCTGAATAAAAGTCACTCTCTTTCTACCACCGTTGTGCTTGTTATCTGAATTTGCAAGTGGTAAGCAGCCGGGCCTGCATGAAACTTCAAAGGCCTGAGTAGGTAGGGGCGCTAAAGCAGATAGAATCAGGGTATAGCTGTAGGACTGGCCTCTGATTTGACAGATGATAGGCAGCCAGTCTAATATATAGTACCGAAAAAGGCATGGGAAAATTGGGGCTTGCTTTGAGCTGGCACCCACATTTAAGGCAGCTCAAGTTAAAGGGTTAATCAGAGCAACACAAGCCAGGAGAGCGTGGTTTCTCATCTCAGGCAGGCAGCATTCCCAGGGTTCTGAGTGAGCGGTCCACTGAATGCAGGACCTTAGCCAGAGGCTGTCGGTTCAGGAAACTAAAGTAAGCTGCTGGAGAGGTCGAGCTGGCAAGAGTGTTAGGAAAACTATCAGAATCTCAAACAAACAGATTCTAGGGTAGAGTGGGATTCCAGTTGCACCAGAAAACTGGAGTTACTAATCAAAAGACCAAAGGCAGAAACCAGGTAAACAGGGTCAACAAGTCAGAAGTCTGGGTAACGATGCAACATGTGCCCTAGCTCCTGCTTTGTACCCAAGATGCTAAGGTCCCAGGTTCGTGGTCTCCACCCAGTCAATCCTGATGTCCTGGTAGATGGGTGAGCAATGGCAGGTGCTCTTGGGAGCAGAGGCGGTCAATTCTGCAAGTAGAGCTGAGCAGCCCTGGAGGAGTAGAAGCCAACAGTGATCCCTATCAGGGTGAAATGTTCTGCCTTTCCTCCATCTTGAAAATCAAGACAATACTTACCTTGCTTGGATCTAATTTCAAATTGCGTATTTCTTCAAGCACTGTTAGTTAAAGATAACAATTAGTGTTGAGTTAAAATTATGTTGTGATCTTAATGAGGGGTCATTTTTTATAGAGAAAGTAATAAGGCTTGAATCAGGGACTATTTTTGCTTATCTCAATGAACCATGGGTGAAAAAAACTGATCTGCTAGATGCGTGCAAGCATTAACAATCCTTACTGGCTGTTCCCCTGGTGGTGTTACCATTATGGGAGACATAGCAGGAAATTATTACCTTCTTTAGAATTCAACTGCCAAATTAAACCTATTTAGAGACAACATGTCAGAGTGTTCAGCACTCCCTTCTGTCTTTTCTCTCTCTCTTTCTTTACAATTTTCTGCTTTCCTTCCATTTTTTCCCTCCCTCCCTCCCTTCCTTCCTTCCCTCCCTCTTTCCTTCCTTCCTTTTTTCCTTTTTTCTCTCTCCCTTCCTTTTTCCCTTTCTGTTTTTCTTTTCTTTTCTCTCTCTCTCTCCCCACTCCTCTCCCTTTGAGTCCCATATGCCAGACTGTTCGGGCACAGGGAAAATGACCTGCCTGAGAAGAGGGACTGAGGCAGCTGCTCACTGGGTATGACAGGAAAAAAGACCAGGGGTGTCTGTCTCAAACCAGGGCATTGGAGGAGGCTTCCCAAAGGAATCAAGTCCTTAAGGAATATAAGATTTGACCAGATGGAAAAGAGCATTTGATGTAGAGGGCATCACAAATTTGGAGACCTAGGAGTGTAAAAGAGTGTGGCTCATTTGAGGAACTGTTGAGTGTGACAAGGCCTGGCACAAAAACACAGTGCCGGCAAGGCACAGTGGCTCAAGCCTATAATCCCAGCACTTTGAGAGGCCAAGGGAGGAGGATTGCTTGAGCTCAGGAGTTTGAGGTTGCAGTGAGCTACGATCACACCACTGCATTCTAGCCTAGACCCTGTTCCAAAAAAAAAAAAAAAACACCCCACAATGAGAGGAAGCTGTACTACATTGGGTGTCCAGCTTGCGGGGCAGCCAATTTTAAAACCAGTCCTGGTCAAAGCCTCCTCTGCTCATTTATATTAATAGTTTCTGAGTGTAAACGTTTATAATAAATAATGCCAGAATGTCACATTTTTTTTTCTTAAAAGACAGTAAAGAGCGTCCATGATGGAGAAATAACTTCTTTCACATCATGAGCTTTCCTTATCTAAACAGAACTCTCTGGAGGAACTTGGCCTGTCCTCTTGGCTTCATATATGATTAAGGTACAGCTAGACAGTAGCTCCTTTCCCACTACATGCTGAGTGGGATTTAGGTAGCCTGGGCACATGCTTTTATTTTGATGTATGGATAGTTCATGTTGGGAAGGATAGGCACAAACTTAAGGAGCATACTTGGCTCCTGGGGGTCAGGAGAGCCTGATGAGGCATGTTCTGCATCTCTAGATGCCAAAGGCCCCGGAGAGCGCAGTGTGAGTACCAGAGGGAGCTCTGGAAATGAATACCAAAGACTCCATCTTCTTCCTCTCTTGATAATGGCGCCAACTCTCTAATTGGGTGTGAGATGTGTTGTTGACAGGAAGAATATGGAATAGGATGGAACTGGAGATAATAGGACCGTGTGGACAGGAGTGCCATCTGTAAACTCTGGGAAAGGCGCCTGTCTTCAGCTGGGCTCGGCTGTCTGCTCTTTTGTGGTTATCTAGCTCTGCAAGAAAATAAAACTTAAGTTCCTTTAAATTTCCCTTAAGTTACCTCCAAGACCTAACAGAGGCCAGGGACACCAAACATGAGGGTGATTAACACCAGTAACATAACGGTTTTGGAGCAAGGATTAGAGCAGGAAAGTGATAGAAGATATAGCTAGAGTCAGGGCAAGGGCCAGACCTGGAAGACACACCATGAAGAAAGGCTCAGGAAGTTGTTTTTGTCTTTTTTTTCTCCTTTCTTTCTTTAGTATCATCACAGTTCCAGACTTCCTTTTTTTTTTTTTTTTTGAGATGGAGTCTCGCTCTGTTGCCCAGGCTGGAGTACCGTGGCGCGATCTCGGCTCACTGCAACCTCCGTCTCCCGGGTTCAAGCAATTATTCTGCTTCAACCTCCCAAGTAGCTGGGACTACATGCACCTGCCACCACGCCCGGCTAATTTTTGTATTTTTAGTAGAGATGGAGTGCCACCATATCGGCCAGGCTGGTCTCGAACTCCTGACCTTGTGATCTGCCCGCCTCGGCCTCCCAAAGTGCTGGGATTACAGGCATGAGCCACCACGCCAGGCCCTCAGACTTCTTATAATGAAAAATGGAATTTGAGTTGGAGACGAAGAGCTCATTTCTGGGATAACATTTCAGGGACAAAAAGATAAGAGCAGTTAACTGCCGTTCACTAATGTAAACTTTCCTCAACACTGCAGACCCATTACTTTTGCCTGATATTTCTTCAAATTGTTATTTTTTTAACTATTGGCAATATTTTATTTGAGAAACAATGGGTTTTGAGAATAACTGCTCTACCATTGGTTATTACATTTTTATGACATTTTAGAGAAATAGAAAAAGAATAATACATGGTGATGTAATTTTTTTTTTTTTGAGACAGAATTTTGCCCTGTTGCCCAGGCCAGAGTACAATGGTGCAGTCTCAGCTCACTGCAACCTCCGCCTCCTGGGTTCACACTATTCTCCTGCCTCAGCCTCTGGAGTAGCTGGGATTACAGGCACCCACCACCACGCCCAGCTAATTTTTGTATTTTAGAAGAGATGGGGTTTCACCATGTTGGCCAGGCTGGCCTCAAACCCCTGACCTGGTGATGTAATTTTTAATGATTTGTTATTGCTCTTTGGCTCTGATACCAAGAAAGGGGTATAATTTTTTCATGGTAATCCACATTCTGAATCTTAATACCATTTCAAAAGTTGGGACAGGCAAGAACAAGCTTATCATCATCGGTGGCATAAGACAAGGCTGTGCCCTGCTCCTTCCACTTCACGTCCTTTTTAATAACAGAAAATCACCCTCAGATGAACTAGACACATGCCTCTGCCATGGAGAGATGGAGCAGTATCCTCTATGCTCAGGTTAGGCAGAAGCTATTTTGAAAGACATTAGATTCTGGTAAGTCACGTTGTCATAAAGATGGCTTGGAAATAACCATTCTGTGAAAAGATCATTTATTATTTGGGAGAGATTTTGAGAAGGTCATTCATTTTATTCTTTAATTTTTGTGGGTACATAGTAGGTGTATATATGTATAGGGTACATGAGCTATTCTGATATAGGCATGCAAGGTGTAATAATCACATCAGGGTAAATGGGGTGTCCATCACCTCAAGCACTTATCCTTTCTTTCATTACAAACAATCCAATTATACTGTTAGTTATTTTTAAATGTACAATAAATTATTGTTGACTGTGGTCACCCTGTTGTGCTATCAAGTACTAGAGCTTATTCATTCTTTCTAATTTTTTTTTGTACTCATTAACCACCCGCCCACCCCCACTACCCTTCCCAGTCTCTGGTAACCATCACAGTCGTTTTTGGTTCCATGGCATATTTTGCAGCTAATCCATGCTGATGGATTCACAAGGAGGCCATTTTGCTCAACAGACATTTCACAGATGCAATTTAAAGATTTTCCCATAGCCCTGGTGGGGACAGATTAGTACAACTTATTTTGAACCTTTTCCAAGCCAACGTCATCTGAGCCTTGCTTTACACTGTAGCACCTGAGGGACACAATCAAGCTCTTATTCATTTGCTGAAGCGGACCCAGGACTGCTTCCTGAGGAAAATTGTGACTTTACCTGAAGAAAAAAGAGTAAAGACATTTGGGGTAGAAAATCAGAAGCCCAGAATAAATAAAACCCTGTGTACCAGGGTCGACAAGAAGTTAGACTTTTTTGGATATGTTTCTCGGAGGAAAAGGTTCTTATTCCATACCAGGTGTAGCACCTAGGAAGTTAATCAGTCACAGGTGATAATGGAATTCTTAGTTGTAGACGAGACCACCTGGGGCTGGACAGGCTACATAATTTGTGAAGTCCAGTGAACAATGAAAAGGCCTGGAGTCCTTGTCCAAAAATTAGACATTTCAAAATGGGAAAGCAGAACATCAGTTTAAGGCTGGGGACCTTCAAAACATGGGGCCTTTGCAATTGTGCTGATTTCATGCCAATGAAACAGGGCATGACTGCAGGGAGGAAATGGAATGAAAACAAGAGTTAATTATGGAATTCTAGGAAAAAACTAACCTTTATAGGAAGGTAAGAGAGAAACCAGCAAAGATGGTGAGATAGGGAAGTCTGGGAGGTAGAAAAAAAAATCAAGAGTGAGTGGTCTCTCAGAAGCCAAGGGAAGTCATACTTTTAAAGGGAAACCACATGGACGTTCCTATGTATCCTTGCACTTCCCGTACACGGGCAGAAAATACGCATCTAATTGCTGCAGGATGAGGTCACCTGTCTCATGTTACTAAAGGCCAGCTAATGTAAGTACTCAAGAATATCCTTGCCTTTCATAGCTAGGAGGTCATCACTGAGCTGATTGAAAAAAGTCTCAATAATAAAAGAGCAACAGCCAGATGTCAGATTGTGTTGTGCTGAGAATGGACAGGGCATTGAGATAGTGGAGACAGCACCAAAGACCTACCCGCTGAGCTTGAGGAGAAAGGATTGAAAAGAGGGGAGTACCCGGCGGCAGATGTTAAGCTGCGAGAGTTGTTACTGTTATTGATGATGGTATTTTGTTCTTTTTTGATTGCTTTTAAGCGGGGGAAGACTAAAGCATGTTCGTATGCAGAAAAAAAAAATTCAATAGTAGAAAGTGAAAAGGCAGAAAAAGAGAGGAGAAAGGAAAGAGGAGAGAAAAGGGAAACGGATAAAAGATTGGAAGAAATAATTCCTGAGTAGTTGAAAAGCACAGAATCCAGGTGGTAAGTCTATAAAAACAGCACAGTTAAGGCATTGGGTGAGCTGAATGTTAAATATATTGGTAACTTGCAAGTATTCCTGAGCTTTACAAAAGACGTTATATCAATCAGAAAGTAGTAACAAGAATAATAAAGACTCAATGTGAAATCTTGGCAGGGTAGCCCTCAGGTTGGGGTTTTTATTTTGTGGGTGTGTATACCAGCCTGCGGTGGATGACCTGCCATTTGGACTAAGCCATTCATTTTGAAAGAAAGGGAGAGTATATATTCAAATGTGAGGGAAAAAGTAGGAATGAAATGAATGATGAATATAGGCACATTTTTTATGAATATGGTTACATTTGGGGGCAAGAGACTTGGAGGTAGGAACTGAAGTATTCCATGCTTTCATTCTTCCCTTATTTCCTATATGAAGTAGGAAACAAGGTCATTTGCTGAGGATAAATACTGAAATACCTAGTAATAAAAAAACTTACTTTGATTCATATAGTTCCTTTTTTTCTACACACTTCAAATTTCTTTAGCAACTGCTACTCTCGAACAACCTATTCTGGTATTTTGATAGACCGTTTCATTGTATTAATTTCTGTTCCCACTAATATCAAAGAGAAACTTGAAACATTTCTACAAAGACTTAACTAATATCAGAAATAGGTTTTCTCTCTATAGCATTTTATAGGGCAATCATTTCAGAACACATAGAACTCAGAATTAGACCATGATGTCTGGAAATGTAAGACTATTAGAGCAAGCCCCTCACAGCACTGGTTTCCCTGGGAAAGAATATTGTTCAAAATATAGCTCTGGATGGGAATTCTTCTGTTAATTTTACTTCCATATTATAGTCAATTCCATTTCTTTTCTGAAGAAGGGTCATATCTTAGTCCAAAGAGCAGCTTATCCAGCATGGTTTAAGATTCACAACAACCAAGTAAAGCTCCCCACCTAAAAGGGATATAAAATCCTTCAATATAAAATCCTGCCAGGATTTTATATTGAATCTTTATTATTCTCATTGCTATTGTCTCATTGATGTAACCTCCTTCATAAAGCTCAGAAATATTTGCAAGTTAATAACATATTTAATATTCATCCATTCAGTTCTCCTCGTGCCTTCCTGGTGCTATTTTATAGACTGAATCTCCTTTTAACTTCTATATAGTTTACTTAATTATTATTCTTATTATCCATTTCCCCAAATAGAATGTAAACTCTGTGTCCCCAACACCTAGAACCATTTCCATCTATAATAGGCCATTCATTGAATATTTGTTGGAAGAATAAATGAAAATACATGTTGAATATTTTCTATTTCAGTGTATCACATTAACTCACATATAGTTGTGCAGAATAATTTTCCATTCTGTTCCTATTTCTCTGGGCTTAAATTGGTGATAGCAGATAGTCTTTAAAAAAACATTAACAACAACAAAAAACTTTTTTTGTTTAGGTCTAGGCCAAGAGGTAGTTACACCCAGCTGATTTGCCCATCTCCGAATCACAAATGAAGGATGGAGTAAATCTACCTAAACAGAGAATCTAGAAGAGCTACAAGCGGGCAGTTTCATATGGTTTGACTTGAAAAAGTGCTATGTGTTTTACATTTTATTAAGTCATTTATTTCACAAAATAGCTTTAGGATATAATAATTATTGTTCCCATCTTACAGAGGTAGAAACTGAAGTTCTAAGAGGTTACATTGACCCAGTTAGAAAGCTAAAAAGTACAAAGTTTGAATTTGAGCACAAATCTTATTCTCAAACCTGAGCTCTTTTCAAAACTGTTTGAGAATTATTCGATGAAGTGTATTGTACTGAGAAAGAAATAAATAGAACAAAGCAAGATGTATTTCACATTTACAAAAAAAAAAAGGAAGGGAAAAGAACTTATGCCTGCAGTTTTCATCAGTAATTCCAACATGGAAAACAAATCTATTTCCAATTTGGCAAAGCCCTCTCAGTGAACTGATATCTTGGCTTGGATATGAGAAGCCATGTAAATATAATTCAAAAATTATGAGCCATTGAGAAATAATTTCTAGATACAAAAAAAGTCTGAGGCAACCATCCATTTCTCCACACTACGACAACGAAGGTCGCTTCTCTTTGTTCAGGGCCAAGTTCCAAAATTTATTATCCCTTTAATTCCACCTCCTCAATCGTGATTCACATAGCTTCATCTCCTGCAGACTCTGAGGAGGTGCAGGGTATGAGTGGGTAGCTACATCATAAGTCCAGCTCACTCTCCTACCCCTTGTTTCCTTTTTCTCTTTTCTTTTTTGGCTTTTATTTATAAACCACCAAAACATCTGGCCAATTTACTTAAACTCCAGATGTTGTAGCCCACTTCACATTGCTACATTTTTTTAACCGAATGTATTAGCTTTATGGTAAATATAGCCTGAGTGAAAGTGAGTGAAGGTTGTCAGCTGATGGAAAATGAAACTAACTGGTAATCAACAATCAACATCTGCTCCTCATTTTTCTATTGCTTCCTGGCTCAATCAAAAATAATGTGCCTAATCTTAGAAGAAATTCCTAGAGAAGTAGAAATCACTTAACAATCTTTACCTTATCCGCTTCACAACCTGAAAGAAGCTAGACATGGCCAGAATCAAAACAGGATCTGTATCAGGGAAATGGCCTGAGTTAGACTCACACATTGCACCATGAGGATTAAATTAGGATAAGTATTCAGATTCAAAGTTGTCAAAACCATTTTGTTACACCATCTCCATCATTCATGTTTCCTTTCCAACTTATCCCAGCATGTTCACGATAAACTTCCTTAATTACCTTGGTACAGTGCCATCCTAGGGGAAGTAATAAACAAATGCCTCTCAGTGCTCTTGGACTGAGAATTGAAGCACCAATCCAGCCTTCAGGTGCCATGGTGCAAAAGGGGTCTAGTCCTGTGTTCCATGGTGACTATAGTCCTTGACCTATGTCCCTGGTCCAAAGAGACAATATGGTAGCCAGATTGGTATTGGAGAGATTTAAACTAAATCACACTTTATGCCTTTTCATATGATTTGGAGCTAATATTTTCCTAAAGGTTCTATCCGGTAAAACAAGACAAGGAAAAGAAAAGATACAAGAACTAGAAAGGAAAAAGCAAACCTCATTATTCACAGGTGACCAGATTATTATGTAGAAAATCCAAAAGGATCTACAGACAAAATATTTAAATTAATAAATAAGTTTATTTAGAATCATAAATTTAACACTAATGATTATTTTTCTTATACCAACAATAAGCAGAAAATGAGATTTATAAAATGACACCATTTACATTAGCATTGCAAACCATCAAACACTTAGTAATAAATATACTAAGGCATACAGAAACTATGTATATGTGCAAGACATATGCACAGAAACTATCAAACATTACTGAGAAAAATTAAATAAGAATTGAATAAATAAAGGAATATATCATGTACACAAGGGTGTTGGGGTCTTCTGAGCCAGGTTGTAGTTTTCTGAGTGTATTAAATTATGATAAGTAAAGCCACAAATGTATGATTTTTGCACTTTCTGCTTGTAAGTTATACTTGCATACAGTTAATAAAAAGTAAATTGAATAACTTGTCTTGCAATGCTAAACAAATAAATACTGGGTTGAACCATCTGAAATTGCTGTTTTTGTAGTTCAACAATCGTCAAATATAGGCAATAGTTACATAGGAAATGTAGGCAATAAGTAAATAGATAAAATAAATGTTTTATGTTCTATATTACTTGTAAATCATAAAATCATATATTTTTGTTTTCTCTTTGTGACTTTTAGTGGTCACTATTTGTACTATTAAACGTGTTTCTAAGTCTACAGCTACAACTATAGCATTCTATCTGTAAGGAAAAAAGTTTTGACTTTTGACCCATTAACCAGAAATCAATTAATCTGAGCTTAATAGGAATAGTCACACATATTTCATTATGTGTGTTATTAGCTCTGTCGCCCAGGCTGGAGTGCAGTGGCGCGATTTCGGCTCACTGCAAGCTCTGCCTCCCGGGTTCACGCCATTCTCCTGCCTCAGCCTCCCAAGTAACTGGGACTACAGGTGCCCGCCCCCATGCCTGGCTAATTTTTTGCATTTTTAGTAGAGACAGGGTTTCACCATGCTGGCCAGGATGGTCTTGATCTCCTGACCTCGTGATCCGCCCGCCTCGGCCTCCCAAAGTGCTGGGATTACAGGTGTGAGTCACTGTGCCTGGCCATTTCCTTATATTTAATATGTATTTCTTCTAAGCAGAAAATAATTGTTTACCTACTCTAAAAATCTTTTTCTTTTAATTAAATCTGTAGTTCATTTAAATGGAATGTAATCATGATTTGTTTTATATTTGTCTCAGCGTTTTCTGTTCTTATTTTCTTCTTTCTTACTTACTTTTGGATTGAATAAGAATTTGTATTATATCCATCCCCACTATTGTACTCTATCATACTGTTTGACCACTCTTGTAATAGTAGAGGCTACCCAGTGGTTAGAACATCCCTCCTAGACTTACTAAAATCGAATATAAATCAGTACTTTTTCCACTTTTTGTACAACACAAAGGACTTAGTATTCTCTATCATATTTCACTACATCCCATATTATATACTGTTTTTAAATTCTCCAGATAATGTTTAACCATATGAGATATTATCATTATTGATTTTTATAGTCAATATTTGTTTAGATTTGCCCACATATTTACCATTCTGTTACTCTTTATTACTTCCTGAGCTCTGAGTTGCCACATGAAATCATTTTCCTCATTCCAGCATAGCTTCCTCTAATACTTATTTCATTATGAATCTGCTGGTGATGAATTCTCCTGATTTTTAATTTAACTGAAAAAAGTATTTTTACCTTAATTTGGAAGACATTTTTACAGGATATTTTCTTTCAGCACTTTGAAAATACCATCATCTTCTTGCTAAACAACTGACTGCCTGAAATAAATACTGAGTGAATAAACAAGCAAATCAAAGAATGAAGGAATGGAGTTATGTCAATAACAAATCCCATTTCCCTCAGAAGAGGGAAAGGAAACCAAAAGCATGGGGGGATGTGCATGTGTGCACACACACAAGCACAGGACACACGCACACACACAAGAACAAGGTCACATGTTCAATGCATTCATCAATAAATTCCTTAGTTTATTAAATGATTTATCTTTCTAATTGGAATATTACTATACTAGATACTATAATACAAAATGTGTAAACATGTTCTTCTAATTGTCCTTGGAGAGCTTATAATCTAAGCTCTGAGAAATATATACTTACTTATTTAACAGGTAATTTTAGGCCGAGCTTGGTGACTCAAGCCTGTAATCCCAGCACTTTGGGAGGCCAAGGCGGGTGGATCACCTGAGGTTGGGGTTCAAGACCAGCCTGGCCAACATGGTGAAACCCCGTTTCTACTAAAAATACAAAAATTAGCCAGGCGTGGTGTCAGGCGCCTGTAATCCCAGCTACTCAGGTGGCTGAGGCAGGAGAATAGCTTGCACCAGGAAGTCAGAGGTTGCGGTGAGCCTCAGCAGCAGAGTGAGAGTCCGTCTCGAAAAAATAATTTTTTAAAAAAGTAATTTTATACTACTTTGAACCTTTCTCAAGGACCAATCACACTACAATGGCTTTTAAAGAAAAGTTGCCAATATACTTACATGGGCCCATACAGCAAACCTACAGACTAAAGCAAAACAAATACTCACTTAACTGTGGAAGGAAAAAGGGAAGCAATTCAGCACTTCTTACATGATACAGATTGATACTTAGAAAAACAACGGTAAATTTTAAAAGCAGGATAGCAATAAAACAATAGAATAAATGAATTACTGTTTAGACATGAAAAACATAATGCACTTTTATTTATTTATTTATTTTTTTTGGACATTGAATCTCACTGGGTTACCCTGGCTGGAATGCACTGGCGTGATCTTGGTTCACTGCAACCCCCGCCTCCTGGGTTCAAGCAATTCTCCTGCCTCAGCCTCCCAAGTAACTGGGATTACAGGCACGTGCCACCATGCCCAGCTAATTTTTTGTATTTTAGTAGAGATGGGGTTTCACTGTCTTGGCCAGGCTGGTCTCGAACTCCTGAGCTCAGGCAATCCGCCTACCTCAGCCTCCCAAAGTTCTAGGATTACAGGCATGAGCCACCACACCCAGCCTTATTTGGTTTTTACTATGCTGGGTTTTTTTTTTTTTTTTTTTTTTTTTTAGAATAATCGTCTTTACAAGTGATTATCTTTGGATAAAGAAAACACAATATGGAAAAAGCTAGAGTGTGCTGAGAATCTTTGTGTTTAGTAGCAGAATAGAGTCTAACCCACACTTGCTCAGATAAACTTTGGGTTTTGGAGAGGTGGCGGGGGGTTGATTTTAGAAATGAGATCTCTCTATGTTGCCCAGGCTGGTTTTGAATTATTGGTGGAGCCATTCTCTGCCTCAGCCTGTATGGCTGCAATTACAGGTGTGAGCCATTACACCCAGCAAGATAAACTTTGAGCTGGGCAAAAATGTAGTTGATGCCTCCTGTATATATTCATGTTGACAAGACAGAAAATAAACATTCAGGCTAAATGGAAGTGGGGGAGGGGGTCTGCTGATGAACCAAGTGCTCCTAGAGAGAATGAATTCAGAGCAGGCTTTTCTAGAAGAGTGGCCTGCTGCAGGCCTAGAAGAAGGAAAGCATTTTCAATGGAGTGTTCTCTCTGTCCTGTTTTCTTGACATAGCTCCACCAAATGGATGCCTTGCTGCTGACAGCAATACTCAGCAGTCTTAAGCAGGGTGTAAACGTCCTCTCCACTCCCACTCGTTTAACTCACACGTCCTCATTGTGGCTCTCCATGTACCTCCAACCTTTCAGCCGTGGACCTGGCCTCCTCAAGCTAACCCAGCCCCTTGCTTCTCTGTTTCTCATTTGCTGGCACCTCTCCACAACTGACCATTGCCATGTGTTCTGGAACATGATCTGGAACGTGTCCTCTGGCTCCAGGCATTGCGGCTGCTACTCTCCTGCTTCCCCTGAGCCCCACACAGGCTCTCCAAGGCTCCTTTCACAGGGAGGTGGATTGGAAACCCAGGGTGTGTGTGGACAAAGATCGTCAATGAGTCTATAACTTGGAAATGGGAAAATTTGCACTCTCACTTTCTTCTTTTTTTTTCCCTTGGTCTGTAAAATTAAAACCCTTTTTCTGGACCTTGCTATCGAAAAGTATTTATATGTTAGCCTGTTACAGTACAACTGTCAAACATCTGAAAACACTGAATACAAAAAGTTCAGTGAAAAAGGCATGAGAGGTGGAGTGTGTGTTCTTTGTAAGTAAAATTTCACAGGAAGAAGAAAACAGGACAACCTTTGAGAGTAATTAACATTGTTTTCTTCTATCCTGTATTTGGTTGAGGATATTCTATATTCTATGACACTGTGCTCTTTTTCTTATTTACGCATGCTAGTCTTGTCATCTTCCAACATAAATGCAAGTGCATGAAGCAAAGGGACATGTCATGCAGTTTCTTTATAATTCCCAATACGTGTTTCTTTATAACATATGTTAAATATTCACTGTTTATTGAATGGGTCCATTTAAGACAAGCTACTTCATTTTTCAACATCTCCATTTTGAACATCCTTCAAAAATAAAGGATGATGATCTGTAAGCTCTACCTCATGTTTTTTAATAGTCTGGATTCATCTGTTTCCTCTTCTCCATGGTTTTATGGCTCTCTCCTGGCCCATCAATTACATGGTAGTAATCGGCTTTTCCAGAAGAAAGGGACCAAATGAGATAACTGACATCTCCCCCAATCTTACAGCACTGGGGTTCAGTCATTCTCCTCTTTAATGGACCTTTCCCCCAGTCTCCCTGCCCCTAATATAAATTATATGCCATATGTATTTCCAATGAACTTCTTTATCTAAATGGGTGAGCAGCAGGAAAGCTGGTTTCTAGTGTGCCATTCACAGCAGACCTTTTGGCATTTATCTACACAGCTCTGTGCCCACCAGCCTCATGTTAGATGTGCTTTTTGTTCAGTCCTTGTGTTGGGAAGGTGACCACTCAGGACAGGTTGGGTGACATCTTTGGCATTGGTCCTTGCTTCTCTTGCCCATGCACTCGTGCAATGGCATGCAGAGACATAAAGGACTATTAATTACAAGGGACTCTAATCAACTGTGTTAGGAAATGCAGTCCAATGATAACCATTCTCCAGATGGCTTGCTAAGTACTACATAGGCTATTTCCAAGTTCAGGTTTCTCCTGAGTCTCTTGTACTGTATGGGGAAAAATATCACTCTTCTGTTATCATTAATGGAATGTTATTTGGCATGTGCCTGTCTTCAGGAAAGTAAAAATCTCTAACTTGAGGCCATTCATCTATTAGGTGGTTCTGTCTATTCCAACGGGTTATAGCTGTTGGCCAGTTTGGTTATTTAGAATATTCTTAAACTCAAGAGTAGCTGCACCTCAGAAGCCTCTTAGGATACTTCAAGGCCAATTGAGTCAGGTAGACAGTTCCCTCACAATCACTCACTGATAAGCACCTATCAATGTAATGGTCTAGGGAGATAATGGTTTACAGCCTATGACACTGTTCATTGCTAAACCATGTATGTTCACTCTCTGAGATCTCAGTCTAATAGATGAGATCTCACCATAAATTGTTAGAATTACCCAAAGCAGAGGTCACAAAGTACAAAATGGCAGACAACTCTTAAAAATCATAAGATCTCCCATAAAATATATGCTTATAACTTGTCTTGAAAAGCTGGGAGTTCTGGTATAATTAGGTAGCATGACTTCCATCGACTAAAGGTAAGAAGACACAGTAACTCCTCTCCTCCACAGACAGGGTATGGACTCTCAGATCACGTGTCTGGCTTCCCTGAACACTTGAGGTTGTGAATCCCATAACTCCCTTCGAAAGTCAGTTACTAAGTATGAACTTGGCTGCAAAGAGCCAGGGGTCCTGAACGTGTCTAGGAATGGACAGACAGGCATTACATTTAGAAGCAGGAATATTTGAGCTTTGCTTCAAGCTCTACCCATAGGACCTGGCCCACTGTGATCAGTCGTCATAGAATTACAGAGTCATAGAGATTATTTAAATCTTCCCATCTCTCCCCACACGTAACAACCAACTTTTCCTACCTCCAGTATTACTTCCATGCTCAGACATAATATTAGATCCTATGACAATGTGCTCTTTTTCTTATTTACGCATGCTAGTCTTGTCATCTTCCAACATAAATGCAAGTGCATGAAGCAAAGGGACATGTCATGCAGTTTCTTTATAATTCCCAATACGTGTTTCTTTATAACACATATTAAATATTCACTATTTATTGAATGAGTCAATTTAAGACAAGCTGCTTCATTTTTCAACATCTCCATTTTTCACCCACAAGAAAAAAATTATCCTTTGAAACCTCTTAATATCACTTGAATCCTTGAATCTATGTGGCACACGGTGAGAGATTATTTTGTAGAAATTGCTTTTCTGCCAAGAGCTGCTTCACATATGCAATGCATTGTATTAAAAATAAAATTTTGGTACATTTTAGTGAGACACTCTGGTGTAAATGCTGTAGAAGGCTCTTGTGGTTAGAATAAATCTTCAAGATGAAAAAACTGTGATTTTTGTGTCCATTTTGAGAAAGTCAATGGGCCTGGAGGAAATAAATTGCAGTAGTGGAGGAAAGTGCCTCTCTAGATATATTGATGATTTTAGTGTGAGTTGCAAAAAGCTTTTTTGAAGGATAAAATACATAAGTACTACAGAGAAGGTGCCAAAGTTGGGTGAAACAAGGTTTTTGTACACCTTCCCCTTCAGTGTTTTAAAGCATGAGGTGAAGAAATTAGATCCGAGTGGGAAATCTTATGTTATTTAATACTTCTCTTCGAATAAGCTGGTATGTTACCTCTGCTATTATTATTGTCAAGTTGATTGAAAACCTGTAAAAGGCATCAGTCAGGCTGTGGAAGTCTGAAAACCTGTAACAGGCATCAGTTCAGCTGTGGAAGGCTGAAAACTTGTAACAGGCATCAGTTTGGCTGTGGAAGGCTGACTTACCAAAACAGCAGCTGATTCACAACGTTTCCTGTTTTACCTAAAGTCATTTTGCTTCCTTTAATTCAGAACATGTGGCTTTTGCTGAATTAATACATCAAATTTATTTCATCTGTTAACAAGACTATAGTAGTTAATGGTGGGCAGAGGGTAGGGAAAGGATACATTTCCCCTATTGCTATCATAAAGGACTGTAGTTACCAGCTTGTTGCTGAAAGGTTCTAAGGAGAGAGGTCTGTGTTTACCCAAGTCACTATCTTTTCTTTGTGAAAATGTGTAAATGGTCAGCTCAAAGCAAAAATCTCCCAGCCCTTAAGAGTCAGCGTTGAATCTGCTCTATTCAGTGAAGATTAACTATTTGCTTATATCCCAGAAAAACTCATTTTGAAATTGCCTTAAAGAGGATAAAAATCCTGGTTAGCCACCAACGCAGCTTTATGAAATACAAACCTGGTCAGGCCAATCAAGTCCTTTTCTTTGATGAAAATAAGCCAGGGAGAACCCCAGAAAATCACTGGTATCTTAGCTTCACAGAGACTTTTATTCTGGTCTATGTATCATACGAAAATACTAGGGCTACACGAGCTAACTTAGCTCATAGTTATTATATGACCATACACATGGTGGGGAATTCATGTGCAAGAGAGGACTTTTAAAAATAGCAATACCAACTTAAAATTTCATGGCAATCATTGCTCACAGGATATTGGTTCTAGACCCAGCACTGCATAACCCCTGGATGGTGGAATGAGAGTATCCTTCATTGGTTTCGCAGTTAACACTAAGATATGTGGGGCAGAGATCTTGAAATATAGGACTATAGGAATTTATTGTGTTTTCAATAAACCGGCAACTTGAACTAAGAAAAGTACATCAAGGGCAGAGAAAATGCATAAATACAAGACAAAACAATTCTATATACATAAATGGCAGGAAAAGATTGAGGGGCTACAGTAGATAAGGAGCTGATGTCCTATCAGTAGGATAAAAAGGCTGAGTGCATCCCAAGTAGGAACCATAAAGTACTGCATCAGAACGGGACCTGAATCCATACTAACAGAATTCTGAGTCCCAGAAAAAAATGAGCTAGAGTAATTGGAGAGAGTGTACAGCATACCTCCAAACACAGTTTTAAGGAACAGTTAAAGTTTTGGCAGTATTCCGTTTCTAAAAGAAATGGCTGAGAAGTGATACTACAGGCTTCGTGAAAACAAAAGCCATTAATTATATGGTAAATTTTCCATCTTCACTGAGATGCAAAGAAAGCCACAGGGACTGAAGCTATAATATAAGAATTTATGTATTGTGCCTTTGGAATGTTATCAAACACTTTCCATTTTAGTTCCTTCTCTGAACTTGTTTAATTCAGTCCAGGAAAACTGAGATGTGATCCTGCCGAGAGCTAGAGTGGTCAAGATGATTTTCCCTGGTCCTTTCTAGATCAACGTTTGCATACCATTTTCATAGGCCTTAGGACCTTTAATTCTCAAGATATCTCCACTGTGTAGGAATTATTAGTCCCTGGTTACAGATGTGTATGCCAAATCTCAGAGAGATGAAATTTCCCCTCTGACCTTGAACTCAGATTTACCAACTGCAATTCTCATGCATTTTCAATGATGTCTTGCTGCCTACAGTTACAAGAAAATAAATGTGTCTCTTTCTCTTGTTATAAATCCTTGCAAAGAAGAGATGAACTGTGATGTGTTTCGTAAGAGAAATTGTCCCCCTAGGCTTCTTTCTCTAAGGCAGAGATCAAGATAGCATAAGCAAGTGTGCAGCCCTCAGGTTTAGGGGAAGGGCTGGTGGATGAGAGGCTTTGGAAAATTATCTAGTTCATTTTCTTCTTCTTTTCTTCAGCACAGTCTACTTCTGGATCAATCATATTATCTATTTATGGAGGACATTTAGGTGTGAGATACATAGTACCTATATCTTCCTGAAGGCTGTCTTCAGCTTCTCAATTTGGGCTGCTGTGTGTGTGTGTGTTTTTTTCCTTCATGTCTAAAGTTTAAGAGCTCAGATTTTGTCTTACTGTGTAGCATAAAGATGCTGAGTCTGATACCAACTGCCTCCATGTCACATGGCCAAGCAAATGTCACCATGATTTGTTCACTTGGAATTGATCTGAAGATATTGCAATAGGTCTTTTAAAATTGTTTCCATAATTATTTTTATGTAGAATTCAAAGTTGTCTGTTATCTATTGTGAGGAAAAATCAGTTAAAAAGAAGGATTTCATTTTTGGCAGGGAAAGCAATACAACTGGAAGTGCAATTTCATCACATTCCTGGAGAGATTATATGGTGGCCATTTCCCAATCAGCAATACAGAGGGGAATTTATTTTCTATTCAAAGCTTTCCTTTCTAATGCATATATTACAAACATTCTAAATTAAGAACAGGATCCTCTTTTGAAACCAAGAGAGTTTAGAACCAATGTCTTGCATCATTTCTCCTGAAACAGAACCTCTTCTGAATGTGTATATTGTACTGCGAGCCTCGATGTCTGCTTGCCCTCATCTGCACCTGGACTGTAGCTACTGTGAATGATGATCCTTCGAACACTGTGATCCTGGGGAGCCCTTAGAAGTGGGCTCCTGCTTCTAAGTTTACAGCAGCTTCTTTGCACTAAGAATTTATTCCCTGGGCCATCCTTTATTCTGCATTTGGGCTTAGTCTCTAGTAAGTACATAGTAGTTACCTAGTAATTTAGATTGGTGATTGACTTATCCCAATATAATATGGATCTGTACATTGCGGCTGCAAGTTTATGGGGGAAAAATGAATCACTGATTTTTTTTTTCATTTCTCCCAACTCTGAGCATCAACAATGCTTCATAGAATTTTTTTTAGGAACAGAAAATAAGCATAAATTGATTATCTTTCCCTCAGTCTTTCCTAGTTTGGGGTCAAATAAAAGACTTGCTTTTAATTTTATCTGTAGGATGTTTTTCCGTAATAATATGGATATCTCTTAGAAATGCCATAGTTCATTTGCTTGGTGGAAGCTGGTTCAATAACACCATTATATATTTATGTGGTTTTGTGGGGAAGTAAAGATCAATAGAGGTCTTTCCAGCCATGTGACTATAATGATGGTTTTCTTTTCCTGCTCTATTTATTATTTATTAAATACCTCGTTGTGAACAACACTGTCCTAGGTCTTGAATGTGATTGAATAAGAGGACTGTAGACGGGCCCAATTCGGTGTACTGATATCATTCTGAAACTTTGGATTTTATTGAAATGTGTTTAAAATTATAGAAGACATGCTTGTGGCAAACACTTTATCAGTCACTATCACGTTTCAAGATAACATTGAACCGCAAATTCAATGCAATGTGTATCTATATTCTTTGGAAATGTACCAAATTTAACTAGAAACATTCAACATTTTCTGAAGTCCTTGTGAAAAAGCACCTAGGCAGAGAAATGCTAAATGACCAAGACTAAGCTAAAGTATATCTATTTCATTGGGTCTACCCTTTCATAAACTGTGAACATTAGATATGTTTAGTGCGGATATTTTCCCAAAAAGCAAAAAGGAGAGAACTGCATTTTTACAAAATGTAAGAGAAGAAATGACATAGGGGTGGGTCTTGAATGTGCAGGTCAGAAAGCTGAGAGTCTTGTCTCAAGCATGGGAACTGTGACATGGATAAATTACTCATGGCGGTTGGGCACAGTGGCTCACACCTGCAATCCCAGCACTTTGGGAGGCTGAGGCAGGCAGATCACTTGAACCCAGGAGTTGGAGACCAGCCTGGGGAACATGATGAAATCCCATCTCTACAAAAAATACAAAAATTATCTGGGTGTGGTGGCTCATGCCTGTAGTCACAGCTACTTGTGGGGCTGAGGTGGGGGGATCACCTGAGTCCAGGAGGTCAAGGCTGCAGTGAGCCATGATCAAGCAACTGTACTCCAGCCTCGGCACCAGAATGAGACCCTGTCTCAAAAAAAAAAAAAAAAAAAATCACTCTTGGAGTCTGCCAGGATTCAGAGAACTAGACAGAGAATTTCAAAAATGGAAGAATTTCTTGAATTGGCCCCGGGCTCTTTACCACGAGTTAATGTCATCTTCCTCCTGGTAAGTGTTTGACCTGGGGAAGGAGAAATGTATAAAGCTGGTTTGAGTTCCAGTTTTCACCAGACACTGCGGAGTCTCTTGCAGCCCTGGCTTCTCTCTGGCTGGTGTGTTCTCTCCTGCACCATCCTGCCCTCAGCTTTCTTTTCACCTGTTCTTTGAGAGAAAAGAGGCTGAACTTCTGACTTTGTCCTTGCTGAGATGATAAAGACTAATGAATGCCTTTGAAGCCATTCACAGCATGGTAGCCTGAGGTCTTGAAGGGTTCATTTCCTCTCTTGTGGCTATGTGGTTTCGAAGTTTCATGAAGGACCGTAGTAAATAAAACATGACATATGATCAGACCTCAAAGTGGACAGAAACTAAAGCTGTATTTACACATTGTATCAGTGCTGGGAAAGGAAGGTAAGGAAGGGGAGGGAAGACAGGTTCACGTAGATGATCTCATCAGTCATTTATTCCCTAAGTGGAGGTGAGCCCTGCTGATTCTGAGATTATTCTTCTCTGGTGATGGCTTTCCTAGTGACAGGGACATGTCCAGCCTGTCACCGATTACCCATGGAGATGAGGCAGCGTCCCTCTGGTGCTATCTCTTTTCCCTCTAAGGGGCTCTTCCAGGTGCCTTTGTTGCCATGGTTGCTCCTGAGCACACACAAGATGCTAAAAATAAATTCCAAGTGAAACTTTCCAGCTGCCTGGTAAAAGAGTTTTCTGCTCTCTTTATATTTACATCCAATTGGCTTACAGTTGATATGCTCTGAGAAGCTGGATCAAATACAGATGCCATGCCCAGAATCAGCAGATGGGCTGGGGGTGGAGAGAAATTGTATAGGTTAAAGACTGCCAGGGGAGTCAAAAGCCTCCACTCCATGACCTTGCCTAACCATGTGCCTTTGAGAAAATGGTGTCATTTCTCAGGGTGTCAGTTTCTTTACTGGGAACTGCAGTGAGTATCAGAAGAACATTCTCATTTTAAAAGTGCACTTATGAGTTCTGATTTTGAATCTAAAACATTTCTGCATACTAGACCTCACTCCTGTATCAACTCTGTAAACTTTGGCAGCCAATCACTATTGTCCCAAATTATCATCTAAGAGAACTTAAAAAGTATGCCTCATGTGACTTGATGCCATCATTCATATGACAAAAGTCACACACAGACACACAGATGATGGTTGTGTTCGTTTTCCCATTCATGCACTATTTTCCTCATCCAGTAAATTATGACTGTGTTTTTTTAAGTCATCAGATTTCTTTTTTAATACAGCCAGCATTGAACTGAAAGCTATTAAGAAAAGTAAATGCCTGAGAGCATTAGGTATCAAATTAAAAGAATATAAACTTGGAATGAGATGATATTAACATAATAGGAATAAAATATCAACACAAAATATTTGTGTGTTTTCTGATTACAAAAGATGTCTATGTGAACTCTTAAACTAATTGGAAAAAAATCTCTAAAGTTAACATTTGATTTTTTACTAACAGTAGTCCTGACATTGTATAATTTAATTTCTGAGTTATAGTAATTCTGCTAATCTGAGATATAAGAAGAAGGGTGAAAAAAAAAACCCAAGGGATAATGGGAAATATGTCCATGAATTAGATGGAAGTCTCCCTGTGACTAAATTATGTAGCTAATTAGTGCCAAAAATATTTAATACGCACCAAATGTGAAGGATTCAAAGATTCAGCTAAAATCTACTTGGTAATCTTCAGCTGTGCCCGCTCAGGGCAGCAGCTACTAGAATTCTCTAGTTACAGAACAGAATCAGAGCCTGAAAAAGGTTAGGCAAGATCCTATCATCAGGAGATACTGTTTTCAGCAACGTTTATGCCGTCTGCTGGTTTTACATGTTCCATTCCCTTATGTGGAGGAATGATTATCATCCTTTTAGGGAGGGCACAGGGGATGGTTTTTTATTATTAGCTGTATGGAAAGTAATTAAACTTGGTAAACCTTCAAGCTTTATGTTCCAAAATTAACTCTCCTGGGCTTGGAAAGCCTTCCTAAATGACAAGAGGGTATAAGAATTGCAATGTAGAGCAGTGTAAGAACACAGATCTGAGGAAGGGTGGAGCTTGGGGACCTCATGGATTTGCAAGCAAATTTAAAAATAGAGGATTCCTTAGGAACTCTGAAAGATATTCAAATGGAAGGAAGGTCATGCTTTGAAATAGGGAGAAAAGGGAGTCTTCCACTAGCTATTGATAAAAGGCAGAGAAACTGCAGAAGGGAATGAAGGTTGCATCTACAATGTCTCATAATGCCAAATAGACCTAAGAGTAAGGCCTCTGCTTTTCCTAGCTGCAAACCAGAGATGAATAAGCAGAATTAATTTGTAGAGTGCATCCACTTTAGTAAGTGCTTTAGTTATTGAACAGGTCAAGGCCAAGATTAGAACTTAGGGCAACTCAATGTATAGAGCCTTTCAGGCAGTAGGCAGAATTGAGATCATCTATTATATATATGTTGATATCTCCCTCCAAACTTCCCCTTGCACTTAACTTCTATTGTGATATTAGGACAAGAACTAGAGGAGCTGCAAGAGATATAAGCTAAGTATGAGGTTGTATGTAGTAGGATGTAGTAATGGGGAAATTAGCACATGGAATGACTGTGATTGGATGATCAATAGTTTATGTCAGGGCCATCACGTAAAGGGTAATGCAGGACAAATGCTGCTGTACAAAGTGGCAGGTGAAGCATCACAGAATACAGAAGACAATTAATTAACCAGGTAATCGTTGCAAGACTTTTCTAAATTAGACCTGTCTATTTGGTAAATAGCTGATGGATAAATGACCCTCAATTCATTCTTTCAACAAATATTCACTGAGTGTCAAATTTATATAAGACATTGTGATAAAACCCACACTATAAAGATTAAGTGATCTCGGCCGGGCGTGGTGGCTCATGCCCGTAATCCCAGCACTTTGGGAGGCCAAAGCAGGTGGATCTCCTGAGATCGGAAGTTTGAGACCAGCCTGACCAACATGGAGAAACTCTGTCTCTACTAAAAATACAAAATTAGCTGGGCATGGTGGCACATGCCTATAATCCCAGCTACTCGGGAAGCTGAGGCAGGAGAATTGCTTGAACCAGGGAAGTGGAGATTGTGGTAAGCTGAGATCATGCCATTGCACCCCAGCCTGGGCAACAAGAGCGAAACTTTGTCTAAAAAAAAAAAAAAAAAAAAAGATAAAGTGAGCTCTTTTTAAGTAAGTTACTTAAATAAATGCCTATACCTTCTGGGAAAACTCACATTTTTTAAACTAGATTTTAAGAGAGAAGAGTGTGTTTGAAACAGAAGCAGCAGTCTGAGCCAACAGTTGACAGCAGAAAATCACAGGCACACCAGGCTAGAGGCAAGAGGACAATTGGACCAGAATGAGAGATGGGCATGGAAGGTTAAGCATTGGCCCATCATGGAGGGAGGTATAGAAAATGAAGTTTTCAGGGAAGGAGGTACCAGTAAAGATTTCTGAACAGAGACGTTGCAAGAACAGAGCTGTTGTCAAGCTTAATTTGGTAATGTTATATATCAAGCTGAGTTGGCCCAGTTTGTTCAAGTTGATAATTCAGGGGTGGAGGGTAGTGGGAAGAAGCAGTAAAAATGAGTTTACATGCTCACAGAATGACGGAAACGTGAGGTTCATTGGACACTTCAGCTGGGAAATGCATATCTAAGCAAGACGCCACCACTAACGGGTTAGAAGACAATTTGAAGAACAGGCACACACAGGAATTCAGGGGTTTGTTTTTTTGTTTGTTTGTTTTGTTTTTTTGAGATGGAGTCTCACTCTGTCACCCAGGCTGGAGTGCAGTGGCATGATCTCAGCTCCATGCAACCTCTGCCTCCTGGGTTCAAGTAATTCTTCTGCCTCAGCCTCCCGCGTAGTTGGGATTACAGGCATGCACCACCACACCCAGCTAATTTTTGTATTTTCAGTCAAGATGGGATTTCACCTTGTTGGCCAGGCTGGTCTCGAACTCCTGACCTCAAGTGATCCACCTGCCTTGGCCTCCCAAAGTGCTGGGATTACAGGTGTGAGCCACCACACCTGGCCTGAATTCAGGATTTTTTTTTTTTTAATGTGAAAGATCAAGCTATCTGTACATGTTGGAAACAACAGAATTTCCTTTCTTTTGCTCTTGAAAGTCGGAAAGGTCTTTCATTGGTAAGACTTAATCAGCCTCTCTGCCTCCTGTGTCTTGAAGGTATTAAAGTTGAGCCCACTGTCGTACCCTTAAGCCCTGGCCCAAGACCCGTTGATGAGCAAATGATGTGTTTATTTACAAAAGGGCAGACAATATTGCTGGAGAAACCACTCATGTAGCCCACATTATCTTCCTAGAAAATTACAAAACTATATCAAACCATATAAAAGTCATTCCTAATATCCCAACTGAGTATAGGATAGGTTAGAAGAAAAAGAAAGTGAAGGTGAAAAAGCCAGTAAGGAGTTTACTACACTAGTATTAGGGAAAGTCAATAGGACCCTAAACTAAGTTGGTGGTAGGGGAAATGGAAAAGCAGAGAGAGAAGACAAATCTCACAAGGTGGAATACAGATAAATTGGTGAGAGCTAAAAGACGACTGACATTTAGCAAGAACAGGGGAGACAGACAGGGAACTGGCGTAGAAGTCAGGCAAGGTCAGTGTCAGATGCACTGGTCTGGAAGTGATAGGAGGCTATCTGACTTGAGACTATGGCAAATGTGGAGCTAGAATTCGAGGAGGAGCAGGGTGGCAGAGGGAAATTTGGGAACTATCTGCAAAGAGGTATTTGAAGAATTGGAGGAGATGTCTAAGTGAGTCATATATGGAGATGGAGTTTTGCCAATTTTTGAAAATATGAAATATGTGACAACCAAATCTATGTTGCATTTTTTTTCTTGACTGTTAAGACTGGCCTGACTTCTCATTTATCTTAGTCTTTTTTTTTTTTTTTCTGGAGTCCTGTTGCTTCTCACTCAATGACTTCTTATCTCATGTAGGGATCCCAGCCCTTGTAAAGTACTGGGCACTTTGTTTGGCTTCCCCAGAGCCCACCCCAATCCCCTGCTCCCTTGTTACTCTCTGCTACAGCAGGGATATAGGTGAATATTCATTGTTTTTGCCTCTCTTCTGGCTGGAGGGACACCTGTGACTGACAGGCTGGAAGAGTTTGAGGGGAGGCCAAAAGAAACAAACGGGCCTAATCCACCTCTTTCCCTTTCTCTATCCTACCTGCTACACAGACATTGTTCCTGGAGCCAGGGCAGCCCTACCTATTCCACTGAAGCAACACACGTGGGGAAATGCCAAGAGAATTTCAGAGGCAATGAACCAGACAGAGTTAAGCCTCCAAAACCATGCCAGCAGCCCTCTGCCTCCAATCTTCCTGCTATGTGAGCAAATGAAATCCCTGTCTGTGCAAGCCACTTTTATGTCAGGTTTTCTGTGACTTCTAGCCAAACATATTCCTAACTGATGTACCCTGCCTGTTTTTTGGAGGTGGGGGGCAGTTTGAGGGATGCCCAAAAGGTGTGTTCCAGTTTTCTGTTGCTGTATAACAAACAACCTCAGAGCATAGTGACTTAAAGGAACAATAACCATTTGTTTTACTCACAAATCTGTAATTTGGACAGGGCTCAGTGGAGATAGTTTTTCTGCTCCAAGGGCGTCAGCTGGAGAAGCTCAATAGGGAACAGAAGGATACACTTTCAAGATGGTTTACTCATGTCACTAACTAGCTGGTTTTGGCTATTGGATGGAGGAAATCAGGGTCTGGAGCCAGAGGCCTCCATTTCCCTCCATGTGGGCCTCTATGTAGCTGCTGGGCTTCCTCACAATATGGAAGCTGGGTTTCAATAGAGAACGTAGCAAGAGAACAATGAAGGTCTGTGGCATGTTTATAATCTCTCCTTAGATGTTACCAAGCATCACATCTACCATACTCCATCAGTCAAGTCAATTGTAAACACACACCCAAGTTTAAGGGAAGTATCATTGCCATCTCTTGATAGGGGTGTGGCAAGGCCCTAGAATATATGGGATGAAAAATATATGGGATGCAGACATCTTTGGAAAATATAATCTGCTAGAAGGAATTTTATAAGATTCATGTATAAGCTACATGAATAAAGGTGTACTTTATTCATTCATTTATTTATTGTTGCTCTCTAGAGATTATGTGTGACACTTATAGAAAAGAAGAGAGAGTTTTGATTTATTGCAATAATTCTGCCAAATTTTTTCAAATAGGAGAAGTCATAATGGACTCACGGGTAACGTGCCTCCTCTTTGTGGTATTAACCAAATATCCCAAGATTTGTCTTGATGATCAAATACATTTTGGAGAGTCACAGTTAATCCCATTCATTTAAAGGTATCCTCTTTGGGGTATAGTTGTAGAGGACCTGGTATGTTTTGCCTGTCCCTGACTAAGTAAGAAAACTCCACTGTGCGGGCAAGAATTGAGTGTGTGTGTGTGTGTGTGTGTGTGTGTGTGTGTGTGTGCTGGGGGCCCTTTGATAGATTGGAAGGTTGGAATATAGCACAGAGCCACCTCACAACCTCACAAGAGAACAAACATAATATCCTTCAGTCCTAGAAAGAGCTGCAAATACCGTGAAATAGTTCTCTGTAGACAGAATTCGCTTGTGTTGTTTGTGCAGTCATGTCAGAAAATATAAAAGGATGCTATGCTGATGAGTAGTCAGTCTGCTCTCAGACCCAACCCTTGCCCTCGCTTTGCTCTGCTGTAGCACATGGAACTACATTTCTGAAGCTACCTGGCCAGTCGGGGGTCCTACTAGAAGATTAGAGTGTGAGAGAAATGGAGGAACTAGGGTCTTCTCCTATGTCTTTCCATTCCTCTGCGGTCCTTGGCCATGTCTGTGTCTCCCTGCATGGTAGGGGGCTTTGGCAATGGCTCCAGAGAACCCACCCTCCTAGTATTCATGCCCTTGTGTAACACCTTCTCCTTGAATGTGAGCTGGACTTATTTCAATGAATAGAACGTGGCAAGGGTAATGGGATGTCACTTCTAAGCTTAGGTGAAGAAGAGATTGTGACTTCTCCATTGCTCCCATGCTTTCTTCCCTTCTCACCTGTTTGCTCTGATGAAGCCAGTTACCATGTTGTGAGCTACCTGATGTGGGAAGAAATTGAGGAAGATCTCTGGCCAACCACCAGGGATGAGCTGAGTCCTGCCAACCATTGCTTGAGTGAGCAGCCCCACCCCCAGTTGGGCCTTCACATGATTGCAGCCCTGCCTGGCTAATACATTGATTATAGACTTGAGCAACACAGAGACAGGGGACCCAGCTAAGCCATGCCTGGATTCCTCACCCACAGAAACCGTGAGAAAGTACAGGATGTTGTTTTAAGCCACAGGGCTTAGGTTGATGTGTTCCACTGTCAAAGATGACGAATACACAGAGGCTCCAGTTCCTTCCAGAAGCTCCTTGCTCTGTTATCAGCAGATGGGGTGGGGCTGGGCTCTGGTAGCTTTATCCACTGTCACTTAGCTGTGGGGGTCGAAGTGGCTGTCTGCTGTTGTTAAGTGCCTCACTGTCCCATGTTTGAGTTTTCCAATCACTTATCACCTGTATAACTTATTCCTATATGAACTTCCTGCCTTGAGTAGTTTTTGTTTTTCTACATGAATCCTGTCTGAAAAGATTACAGTTCACAAATTTGGTAAAATGCCTCTTGTTTGTGTCCATGAAGTTTTTCTTCTTTCCATAAAAGTCAGAGGTCCAAAGGTACAGGGCGAGAGCTGGTAGTGCAGTATGAGTGAATACTATGAGGTCCAGCACCAGAAGCATGGAAGGAGTAGCAGAGAAATAACGTCTACTTTCATATCTAACTTTGTGTTTGTAATTTTGAAATCTTTTTTTTAGGCACTAACCTAATTTAATAGCAAATAAGTAATCGAGACACATGTTATTACACAAATATTGAAGGTGACAGTAGTTTGCATCTTTATCATGTTGATACACATGTATTCTTGAAAAGTCCTGGGTTTTATGATATTTGTTTTCAAAATAGTTGCAAAGCATGTTCTTTACACTAATCTAAAATGACCTACATAGGCTGGGTGTGGGGACTCATGCCTGTAATCCCAGCACTTTGGAAGGCTGAGGTGTGCAGATCACCTGAGGTCAGGAGTTTGAGAGCAGCCTGGCCAACAAGGTGAAATACTGTCTCCACTAAAAATCCAAAAATTAGCTAGGCATGGTGGTGCACACCTGTAGTCCCAGTTACTTGGGAGGCTGAGGCACAAGAATCACTTGAACACGGGAGACGGAGGTTGCAGGGAGCCAAAATTGCACCACTGCACTCCAGTCTGGACAACAGAGGGAAACTCTGTCTCAAAAATAATAATAATAAATAAACAAAATGACCTGCATAATCTAAAATAACCTATATCAAGAAAAGTTTAAAAACACAACTAAATTCAAACACTTAAATATGAAAGACAAGCTGCCAAATAAATAACGCATGTTTACAGAAATTTCAGGGAACTGCCACTTAGCTTTGTAAGTTTAATAGATAAAAAGATTAAAATCATCTAATAATAAATTATTTCCATAACATGAATAGCATCCATTACAAAAGTTTTAGTAATAGTATAGTTTCACAAATACAAATTGCTCTTAAATTACATATACAAATAATTCTATGACCAATATTTTTTAAAAACTAGTAAATTATCTACCATATATCTATCGCTCATAATCCTATAACATTTTTTCTTTTTTTGGTAGTGTCTCACTATATTGCCTGGGCTGGACTCTGCATGTCACCTAGGCTGGTATGGAACTCCTGAGCTCAAGCAATCCTCCTGCCTCAGCCTCCCAAAATGCTGGGATTATAGGTATGAGCCACCGTGCCCAGCCCATAATCCTGCAATTTTAGCAATATTTTACACAAACGTAAAGAAGACACACAAATTTATTTAACCTTCACTTTCATCAATCTGTGCCTGCCCCCCAGTTCAGACACATTGGATATCAAAACTGTTAAAGGCCTAAAAAAATGCAATTAAAGTAACTTTAAATTAAAATAGTTTTAAAACAACAAAGGTTCCTGTTGATTTTGAATTATCACAAGAGAAACTTGGAAACCTTTGTAGTTTTCCTTTAAACTTTGAAATTCTGTGATCTGTGACTCCATTGCTTAGAAATTATTTCTACTTCACTCAACCAACCTTTAAAATGAAATAAAAATGATAACCTTCTAACTTTAATTACCTTAATTCATAGAAAACAGTAAGGAGGCAAGGAGGTGAACAACTCTTTGGTCATTAGCTTTAAGAAGAAATATCCTGCCTAAAACAGGCTGTTATCAGAAGAAACACAGAAGCACAACAAATTGTATTTAGAAAGTGGCATTGTCTGAAGAATCAGAAATAGTTCCCTTCTATACTTGAGCAGAGGCCTCTCTGAGTATAGTGGCTTCTGCTAACCTTGAAGGATTGCATCCTTCCATCCATTCATTACAGATTCTTACATCCTAAGAGCCAGGAGGGATCTTAGAGGTTATTAATTCCCCTTCCATAGTTGACAGCCAAACAAATTGAGGTGCTCAGTGATCAAGTGCAGTCCCTAAATCTCATAGCTTGTCTGTTGCAGAGCCAGGCTAGACCTCAGACCACCTGGCTCCCAGTTTAATGAAAGAAGAAATTGCATAACCTGGCAAATACGGTTAACATGTAAGATCAACTTAATGGCTTTATCTTCCCTTAGAGTCAAATTCAAGACTGCATGTAGGAGAGTCTCAATTGTCAACTTTTTGGTGGTAGAACCTGTCTTACCTGAATGATAAACATTCTGTCATGAAAAGCAATAGTCATGGGAGTGATGAAATGGTCACAGGTGAATCATTAGGTTGCAACAAAGATGAATAATATTATCGTATTCTCTGTGTGTCCAAAGTGTTCCCAAGCTAGGAGCCAGATTGTAGTCTCTTTCCCTGATGCATTTTTTTTTTTTTTTTGAGATGGAGTCTCGCTCTGTAGCCCAGGCTGGAGTGCAGTGGCACGATCTCGGCTCACTGCAATCTCTGCCTCCTGGGTTCATGCCATTCTCCTGCCTCAGCCTCCCGAGTAGCTGGGATTACAGGCGCCCGCCACCACATCCGGCTCATTTTTGTATTTTTAGTAGAGACGGGGTTTCACCATGTTGGTCAGGCTGGTCTCCAACTCCTGATCTCGTGATCTGCGGGCCTCTGCCCCCCAAAGTGCTGGGATTACAGGCATGAGTCACCGCGCCCAGCCTCCTTGATACACTTTACTGTCCTTTTAATTAGCCTTATCTATTTCCCTACTTATAAATGGAATAAACTTTTTTTTTCACAGCAGCTACAAAAAGTAACGCAGCATCTTATTTTGACACCATGTCTTATTTCCTTTGGCTCTTTGGAAAGAGCCAAAAAGGCTTAGTTAGCTAAGTTTATGTTCTGAAGAAGCATGGAAAAGCAGGTTAAAGTTCTGTAGGTACCCAATACTAGATTCTGCACACAAAAGTAGAAATAAAATCTGTATTCTCTCAAGCTAAAATAGAATTTCCCTATTCAGTTCTACAGCTCAATATACACGCTGACTAAACATTTCGAGGACAGAAGATTGTGCTAAGGCTGTTTTTTCAATATAAAAAATACTCATTTAAATTAAAATTACTGGGTGGATCACATGATATTTAAGAATTTAAGGAGGATGGAAAATTATGCCCATGTCGCATAGATGGGCTTATGTGGTACTCAGAGATTCAGAATTTTTAACATTTCCTCATATCTGTTAACTGAATTTGATTTTCTTGCTCACCCTTGCAGCCAGAATGTAAAAATGAAGGAAATGATAAAAAATAAAGAAAAAGAAGAAACTTAGCAAAGCAAGAATTTAAGGTAAAAAGTCCAGCTTAAAATCTTAGGTAGCACATGTATACTTAGGTATACATTTATTTTATCAGGAAACTTTATCTTAAAGAATAAATAACCCTTTTTGCATTGTCTCTAAACTGGAAACTATTTCACCATATTTGGTTCAAAAACAACCTTAATACACTATAACTTTGTGCTAAGGCCAATGAAAAAGTTGTTAAGATACAGGAAAATATTGCTTTTATCAGACTTAGCTGCAGAGTGTGAAGAGGTGGGGAATGGGTAAAAATTAGAGAAAAGTAATGGCTACAAAGTACCTGGGAAAGGCATTTTAATCCAATCCAAACTAAACCTCTTTCCCACTGGTCAATGTCTGGCATTCTTTGGGGCTGACCTTAGCATCGTATCCCTTCCTGGCTGCTGGAGTGGATTCAAGTCCTTTTTCCTTTTTCCTTTTTTTTAAATTGTCTTCTTGTTTGTCTCTTCCACTAGAGATTTAGTTCAATACATCTTTGCAACTGCAGTGCCTACCACTGTGCTTGGCATATAGTAGCACACGAAGAAAATTTGGTAAGTGGATAGATGGATGGATGAACAGATGGATGGATGGGTGAATGGATGGATGGATGAGTGGATGGATGAATGGATGGATGGATGGATGGATGGAAGGATGGATGAATGGATAAATGGATAGATGGATGGATGAAGGAATGAAAAAAGTGAATGAATGGGCATTTATCTTCCAGTTGTTTTACATCCTTGTTGATATGGTTTGGCTCTGTGTCTCCACCCAAATCTTATCTTGAATTGTACTCCCATAATTCCCATGTGTTGTGGGAGGGACCTGGTGGGAGATAGTTTGAATCATGGGGGTGGTTTCCCACATACTATTCTCAAGGTAGTGAATAAGTCTCATGAGATTTGATGGTTTTATCAGGGGTTTCCACTTTTGCATCTTCCTCATTTTCTCTTGCCTCCACCATGTAAGAAGTGCCTTTCACCTCCTGCCATGATTCTGAGGCCTCCCCAGCCGTGTGGAACTGTAAGTCCAATTAAACCTCTTTTTCTTCCAAGTCTCTTTATGTCTTTATCAGCAGCGTCAAAATGGACTAATACACTTGTCACCTGCCCTACACTCTTTGGGGCTTTTCAGCCTTAAACTGGATATAAACCAGTTTCACCTATGAGATAGACCTAAGCCATTGAAGCCTCTCTCCCCAGGAGGGTGCTAAATATATACATGTTTGTTAAGTGACAATGCTAAAGAGAGATTCTCTGATCTCCAAATAACATGTACAAAATCAAGATTACTAACATTTCTTTACAAGAAATAAGGAAAACAATGTTTGGAATCAATGAGCTCAGTGCTTTAACTATATGTTTACAATCAATACAGATGCACTTCCTCTTTGGTGTCTTTCCCCAGTACACAGTGACCTGCCCCCTCCACTAGATCCTTTTTTTATGCCCATGAATTGGGAATAAAGTGCCAGCAAATTTGATTTTATTGTTCCACATGAATGCTAGTCAATTTTCCTAGTGGGAATACTAAAGATGATAATTGCATGTTGTCTCATCTTGTCTGTATAGGTCCCCTCTAGTGGTAAGCCACTGAAAGCATGAAAGGATAGGAACAAGAGCAAATGAAATGTAATGTGGTGCATTCTTTGAACTAACAGGGACCTCTTGTTTGAAGGGTGTCACTGATTTGTATATAGATAGTGTTAGGGAAAACTCAAAACTGTTTTTCCTCCACTTGAACACCCACACAATAGAAGTCAACATAGAAGACGTCTGTGACCCCAAAGTATGTGAGTATTTCTCCCCCTTCCAACAGTTTAAGAAATCAGTTCGGCAGCAGACACCAACAGGGTGTCCTCCAATTCAATTCAGACACTATCTATCTGGAAATAGCATCAGGTCACACAGGTTGGGGCCTCAGTTCCAAAACTTCCCCACTCTTCAGACATCAGTTGCAAGTCCAGGCCTCCAGAACTTCTGACCAACTGGCTTCAAGCTGGGGTGCCCAAAACCCTCTCTTTGGGTTCGATTAATTTGTTGGAGCAGCTCACAGAACTCAGGGAAACATTTACACTTTCCAGCTTATTATAAAGGATATAACAGAGGATACAGACGAACAGATGCATAGGGAAAGGCATATGGGAAGGGGTACGGAGCTTCCATGCCCTCCCTGGGTGTGCTGGCCTCCAGGAATCTCTATATGTTCAGCTATCTGGAAGCTCCCAAACCCTGTCCTCATGGACCTTTGATGTGGACTTCACTGGATAGGCATTCATTGGATTGACAACCATGGAGAAATGTGAATGGACAAAAAGGGTACGATCTAAACCCAGCGAGGCCTGTCTGTTCAGGTTCTTCTTGGCCTCTCTGCAGCATTCCTTTCTCCAGGGTATGGGGTAGGACCACCTCTGGAATGAGGGTCTTATGAACCACAGTCAGATTAGAGTCCTTCTTTGGGCAAGTAAAAGGAGGGCAGGAGAAGTTCAAAGAGAGAGTCTGTTGATTGTAACAAGGGCTGTGGGAGTTATGCATCAGGAACTGTGGACAAAAACCTGTGTATGGAAATATACATACATATATATAAAATAATATCACAAGTAGACATAGACATTTTTTTTTTCCTCTTAGGCAGGCTTCACTCAGGGAACATAGGGAGGGACTGTCAATGGAAGGTATGGTAATAAATGGTCAGGCTCCATAGTTAGGGCACTTGATGGATTACCGTGGCTGTTGGATATTGTAGGTGTCACTCTGCTCCTGTGGAATGCAGGCTACAGAGCTGGTCCTTGGTGGGTAATTACTAGGCAATGAGAAACAGTCTTGAATAGCACAGGGACATAAAAAATCTTGTCTGAGACAATGTTGCTTTGTGGTTTATTTCACATCACTTGTCTTTTGGGAGGAAACAATCATACTCTATTATTGATGACTTGTGCTGTTGCATGGAGAAAAGGCATGGATAATGAACATAATAGGTGACCCTAAAGCAATTGCTTTTTGTTATTAGAACGTTGTTGAAGAGAGGGACCGTTTTATCATAATTACTTGCCCACATACTCCTTCAACACTCACTCTTCACACCCTTCTTCTCTAATTTCCTCTGGGAAAGAGGTGGGTAGATAATGAAGAGAATAGATGTAAAGGCGAGACGAGCATGTTTACATAGCAAGATTATCAAGAAATTGGGGTTCTGGCCCTGTGTCCTTGAAAGGCAGAAAGCCCATTTGCATTTTCCAAGTTTAACACCCTCAGAGGGGTAAAAACTGATGAGTAATGCCTTCCTTTGTGCTGTACGCTCAAAATAATACCATGTGCTCATGCCATTCCTTAAAGCTCCTTGAACAGTGGCCAAGGTGCTCAGATAGACTTATCTCCATCACTTATCGTATGTGGTTAGAGAGACAAGACATAGATTGTACCTATCACAGTAATAACGCAGCGTTTGAGATTGTATCTGTAAAGCCCAGTGATACACACAGTCTATTTGTATGCCAACAGAGATTCCTTAGACTGGCCTCAGGTACAGAAGGGGCCACTTTCAGGGTAATTCCTTGTTTTTTTTTGGCTCTTGCCCCATCTGCTAATACAGAAAACCAATTCTCTACAAAATCATTACCTCTCCAACGCATGTCTGGGCGTCTTCAGGGGATGAGTCTCTGCACAGGATGGAATCTACTGGTAGCTCTGCAGCTTCAACCAAGGACACTACAGCTAGTGCTGGGGCTGCAGCTTCTTGCTTGTCTGGGTAAAGCCACACCTGCCGAATACCATGACCCCCACCTCCGCGTACCTCTGGCATCCTCTCCCTCACTGCCCCTGTCTCCTGATGGGCCCTGCTGCTGCTTCTGCCACCTCGTGCAGGACATTGCTACAGATATACCAGTGCTGCTTGGAGGTCTGTGCTGAATCAGGGTGCAGGCTTTCTCTCGGCTGGGTAACATTATCATAGAAAAAAAGAATGCAATTGGCTTGTGTCCTAGGACCACACTGAATTTTAATATATAATTTTAGAGTACAGCCCAATTTCTCCCTATAATACTGCTACAGGGACATGGAGATGGGCTCCAGGATAAATCATTATGAGTGATAGGCATCATTTTCAGGACAAAATCATTGTCATTTTTAGGACAAAATGATGCTTATCGCTTATATTGATTTATCATGGAGGCCACCTTCATGTTCCCATAGCTGTATTATCAACCCTCTTCTCTAATTATAAGGTTCTAGAAGTGGCTAAATGTATCTTTTCCCCTAGGATGAACTGATTCTCTGATGGGACATTAGTCCCTTAGCAGAGGTGAGGAACCTCTGCTGGGCTCATCTCCTCATTCACCAGATGCACCAGCAGAGGCCTGTCTGGGACTCACGCTGGGATCACTGGCAAAGGCTATTGGGAGGCTCACAGGTAGGCTGGGTTGTGAAGGAATGTTTCATGGAGGAGGAAGTCATGGCCCCTGCACACTTCCTGCCTTCACAGAGTATACATTCTGGTGGGAAAGACAGAGGCCACACATAAGAAAGCACGAGGAGATTTGAGAGGGGTAGTTCAAAATGCCATAAAAAGGAGAACTGATCAGAATTCCAAGAGGCACAATCCTGGATGCCATAATCCCAAATGTTGAAATCCTGAAAGATCAAAGTTCCCAAAATATAATTCTGGAAAAAAATAATAAACTCTTTAAAAGATATTTATTTACACTTTTAAAAGGGGTTTTATTTGAAAAACATGTAAGCACATGACAGGACACCTCATAGGCCACTTTACACAATAAAATAGGCAATAACAACATACATATTTTTGCAAGCATAAATACTCAGGTATATAAATGGCAGTCACATGGGTATAACAGTTATGAGCAGATGAACCATATTCATAAAGAAATAGGTAAAAAGGAGGTGTATAAAGCCATGCCGCCGGGCGCGGTGGCTCACGCCTGTAATCCCAGCACTTTGGGAGGCCGAGGCGGGCGGATCACGAGGTCAGGAGATCGAGACCATCCCGGCTAAAACGGTGAAACCCCGTCTCTACTAAAAATACAAAAAATTAGCCGGGCGTAGTGGCGGGCGCCTGTAGTCCCAGCTACTTGGGAGGCTGAGGCAGGAGAATGGCGTGAACCCGGGAGGCGGAGCTTGCAGTGAGCCGAGATCCCGCCACTGCACTCCAGCCTGGGCGACAGAGCGAGACTCCGTCTCAAAAAAAAAAAAAAAAAAAAAAAAAAGCCATGCCACTGTGGCTGGCAACAGTGTGCCTCTACTTCAGTCATCTGAAATACTGTGAAGAACAACCTTTGCCTTTTGAGAAGATCAATAAAAAACTGATTACCACTGCATGTGCAGTTGCCTAAAGAACTGAGATTTTGAGAAATTTTATCTCTCCTAAAGAAGATGTACAATCACAACTTCTCTTCGTTTACTGAGGAAATTTCAACATTTTCACATACGTGCACAGCGCTTATCCACAAAGTCAAGATTCTGATAGTGCACTCTTGTGGGTTCAAATTCGCAAAAAAAAAAAATGTGTAAAAGAAATTAGAATTCTCTAGAAGATTTCACATGATTTATACCTCTGGTATTGCAAATGACATAAAGATGAAGTACACAGCATAGTGAATTATAAAACATAAGGCTGACAATTTAAATAGTAAAAAATGAAAAACAAAAAAAACTTTTAAAAACTTAAAAAAAAGAAAAGAAAAAAGGAAAAAAAATACCTAAAAGGAAAATTCAACAAATGAAAAAGTGTGTTGCAGGGCTAGATTACGGGCAATTGCACACAGATAGTCCATAAGAGCTGGCCTAACATGATGCAACTGTCCTGTGATTAGGATTTGGGGGATTTTAGACTTTAGAGATTTTGATCTTTCGGGGTTTTGACATTCTGGATTACGGTGTTCAGGAATGTGTGTTTCGGGATTATGATCCAAACCTCCACAAGAAGATAGAGGGTTGACCTGGCCTAGTACAGGGATCAAGAAGGATCTTCCTGAGGGAGAGCCATTTGAGACCTGAAGGATGAAGAGGGGTTAGCAAGACAGAAGCAGGTAGAGAAGGAAACTCTTGGCACACGGGAAGTCTGTGTGGAGGCTGAGAGGTGAAATGTGTGGAGTGTAGAACTATGGGAACTGTTTGGTATTGCTGAAGAATAGGGAGCAAGGCAGGCGGCTGGAAAGGGCAGACAGGGCCAGGTTAAGGAATTTTTCTCTTGAGGGCAATGGGAAGCCTCTGAGGGTTTTAAAGCAAGGGAGGAAGGTGATCTGATTTGCATGTATGAAAGACCACAGTAGGGCAGATGAATTAGAGAAGAGCTGGACAGAAGGCAGGAAGACAGACAGAACATTTAGGAGGCTGTTGCTATTGTCCTGGCAAGACATGATGGTGCAGTAAGGATGTTAGGAGAAGTAGATACATGCTAGATATATTTAGGAGGTAGAGATAGAGGCCTGGTCATTGATTGCATTAAAGCATGAGGGAGAAGGAGGGGTTGAGGAGAAGCCCCAGCTTTTGGAAATGACAAATAAATGGGTGGTGATGCTATTACAGAAATGGGGATCACAGGAAATGGAGTCTGGAGAGTTACATTTTTTGATGTATTGGGTTGAGGTGTATTGAGATTGAGCTACCTTTGAGGCATCCAAGTAGACATGTTGACTGAGAAGAACAATTTCATAGTAGTCAGAGTTAATTTTTGCAATGTCAACATCTGATATATAATCTATATCTATTATAGTAGAGTTCATTTTTGCAGTGTTGACATCTGATACATATCTATATCTATATCTACATCTATCTATATCTATATCGATCTATCTGCATGCTTAGGTTCCTGGGAGCTGAATATACATTCCTAGGCTGTCCATATTGGTTCATGGGTCCCAGCACAAGGATTGTAATTGTAAACATTGGAAAAGATGAGATTTGTCAGGAAACAGGTGAAGGGTAGGAGAAATCCTGAGGTGCATCAGATGTGAAGGTGGTAGGAAGAGGAGTTTCAGAGGCAGGGAGGTGTCAGAGAGGAAGGAGGGGTTCCAGGAGAAGGTAGCACAATGGGGCAAAGGAAGGTGAATGTTCCATGAAGGAGAAAGTGTTCTGCAGTGGTCAATACTGCTGAGAGTTCCATCCAGGAAACTAAGGTTGGAGGCAGTCTATGGAATGTGTAAATGTTACGAAGGTGAGGAGAACTTTGATGTTATTCAGTATGCAATGGGAAGCCCAGAAGAATTGTGAACTGGAAATCTATGTGCTTAAAGGACTGTGTGTCCGGTGGTTTAGAACAGGGGTCCCCGGCCCCGGGTCTGTGGCCTGTTAGGAACCAAGTGGCACCGCAGGAGGTGAGTGGCTGGCTGGCTTCATCTGTATTCACAGCTGCTTCCCATCACTGGCATTACTGCCAGAGCTCTGCCTCCTGTCAGATCGGTGGCAGCATCATATTCTCATAGGAGCATGAGCCTTATTGTGAACTGCGCATGGGAGGGATCTAAGCTGTGCGTTAGAAGCCAGGGGGAAGAAAACGAAGAGCTTATTTAGGAGAGTTGTCCATACTCAAGGACAAAAACACCTAAGGAGGATGGCTACGCTGGTGTGAGAGATCGTTGGAGGAAACCAGAATCGTTCTTGTTGGATCACGGAAGGCAGAGAAAGAGAAGAATCCAAGAGAAAACTCTCTTGGTCTAGTATTTAGCAGAGTGACATCTGTATCACAAATGTCATGGCTAGCAAGGGTTGCCAGCCTTCGGGAAAATTTGATAGATTTGGCTTTAGGTCATTTAGTTGTAGGCAATAGTGTCACATGCTGATGGCCTTTGTTGTTGCTGTGTTTTGTAGGTGGATGAAAATGGTGTCTGCCGAAAGCTCTTAGGATGAAAATGGTGCCTGCCACAGGCTCTTTACTTAGGATGAAAATGGTGTCTGCCACAGGCTCTTTACTTAGGATGAAAATGGTGTCTGCCACAGGCTCTATACTTAGTCATTTGTTGCATTTCTGGAAATAAGTACAATTTCATAGTAGTCAGCGTTCATTTTTGCAATGTTGACACTTAATTTTACAATTTCTGGAAACACTGGAATTAGGAGAGCTAAGGTGTTTCAGTTTCCTTTTATGGTCCTTTTCTCCTTACTCCTACAATCTTAAAATAGAGTATGAGCTTGCTCTTTCCACATCAAAGCAGTTTCAAAGATTTAATTTTCAGATTTTGTGGGTAGGATTTACCTTTCTAACCCTTGGCCACTCTTCTCATGTTTCTCTCTGATTGCCTCCTCACACTGCTCCTTTGCTCCCCTTCCTTCCCATCTCTCTCCCTCAATTGCCTTCCCACTTAGGTCTCTCCCCAGGAAATCTCAAGTGCAGCTATTTCGCAGACAACCAGATGTTAGAACGAGGAAATGTGGCCTTGCTAATCCACCTGGGACCTGGAAAGCAGAAACTACATAGTCTTGATAGAGCATTTCAAATGTATCTCTATTTCTCCCTTATAACTCTTAATTTTTTAAAAACAAAAATCTGTCCCCTTATAGGATTTAAATATCATAAGCATTTTCCTGTCAGTGTTCTGACAGTTTTTCTTTATGAGACAGCAAACACATCCTCCAAAGTATTTAATACTGGGTGTCCAGTCCCTAGTTGTTAAATGAATAAATGAATGAACGAATGATGAAGGCAGGCAGAACAGTCTATCTGCTTTTTTTTATTTTCTCCATATTGCTTTCAACTTTTTCTAGATTATTTTTTCCCAGGGGGTGTGTTTTTCCATCAGCACTGCAGAAAGACCTGGAAGTAGTCACCAGGTTCTGTGAAATGTCTTACACATTGAGGCTGCTTAGAGTTTAATTAAGAACCTAAACTGTTCTTACATAAGACTGTTAAAATTAGGAAAGGAAGTGGTTTGCCAAATTATAGGCAGCCCTAGATACATAACCAATATTAAAAAGAAATCAAATGTAAAATGTAAATCTACATACATATATGTGTATGCTGTATATGCCTTTTCTGTACTGATTTCTTTAGATTTATTACTCGGCAGAGTATGTGTGGTGCTTTTGAGCATTACTATTGATAAACGCCATCTAGTGGTGTAGAATAGCAGATGCTCTATAGGTCAATTCAACTAACATGTCATTATTATTGTTATTTCATAAAAGTAGAACCAAAAACACTCGTTAAAGGATCCTGTCTGTCCCAAGTAGAAATAAAATTTGGAAGATCAAGACATAAACTTTAAATCTGCTATGGAAGAACAGAGAAAGATCAATACAGTACTTTCTCTCAGTGCAATCCATCCACCCACTCCCTATTCATTCATCAGATATCGATCAAGACCACGTCTTTTGCCAGGTTCTGTGTGAGGTGCTGGATATAAAGTTCCAGTCTCCTCCTTGAAGGACAGCAGCAAGTGGCAAACACTGATGACCTACTGTGTCTTCAGCTGTTTTCCTTCCTCCCTCCCTCTCTTCTTCCCTCCCTCTCTCCTTCTCTCCCTCTCCTTCCCTCCTCTTCTCCTTCCTTTCCTCTCTTTTCTTTTTCCTTCCCTCCCTTCTGTCCTCCCTCCCTCCTTCCTTCCTCCCTCCTTCCTCCCTCCCTCTCTCTCTCCCCCATCTCTTCCTCCTTTCCTCCTTCTTTCTTTCTTTTCTTTCCTTCCTTTCCTTCCTTCCCCTCTCCTTCCTTCCAAGTAAGGCAAGAGGCAGAAGACACCTCTCATAGTGATAAAGTTAGTACAAGTTGTTAACCTGTGGGTCTGAGACTAGAGAAAGTGAAAGAGATAACAAGGGGTATAAAATGTAAAATAGCTACGGCCAAGAGTTTGAATCATCAGAAAAGAAATAACCCACCTGTCTTAGAAGATTCTTGGAGATACATTAGATTGGACACATTGCAGCAAAGACAAACATTGGATTTTAAATTTCTGAAACATGCGATTAAGAACACAAGAAACTTTTCGCTTCTGAAGGATATTTGTCAGTGATCCTTAATCACGCAATCCAGGATTGGCCATTCCAGATCTCCATGTCACACATCTATACAACATTAAATTCAAGTTGGCATTTTAAATGTGTTGTCTTTGCAGTAATCTGAAAATTGCTTCCTCTGTGAAACTCCCAGCTAGGTAGTATTTTATTTCCTTGAGGATCGTCTCATTATTTATCTGTAATAATCCGCATCCCCCAGAGCAGAACTGAACACAGAGTAGGCCTCCGTAGATATCCACAGAACTGAGACTTTTATATTAGATGGGTTTCTTCTAAGGCTATTATGGACAGTATAGGGTACTTAGCACATCATTTATGTTGTCCTATTGGTTTTATGTTATTCTAGTGGTTTTCATTTTAAGATAAACATGTGCTTTGTTTTTTATCATGACTGGTAGTACACTAAAGCCAGTAACCCAGCTTTCTGAGCTGCAGCTGAACCATTTCTTTTAAAATTGCAGCAGAACTTTGTATTTCTTAATTTACCTCACAAGACCATATTCAAACATGTTTCTGTTGTAAGAGGTTTCCTTTAAAAAAAAAAAAAAAAGAAAGAAAAGAAAAGTTGAAGCAGCACCCATGTGCTTGTCTGTCTGTGAGGACTTCCCTTCTAAGAGGAAAACAGAACCTGACATGGATGAAGTGCCATGTAAGTGTTTGTTACACAAGTGAATAAGCCTGTGCTTGGCCAAAGGGCACCGCTGTTTCTCAAACATGCCTGACACAGGCAGCTCCTGTGTCTTCGCCCACAGTGCTTCCTCTTGCCAGGGGTAGAGTGCTCTCTTCTCTCCTTCTCGCCTGGCCAGTTTCACATCCTTGGTCAGGCCTTTGCTGGTTGGCCCAAGCCAGATGGCTGGCTCTCCTGCTCTCTCTGTGGGCGCCACTCATTGGTGATCACGAGCACCTGCTCTCAAGTTCTTCTCCTCATCATAAAATTCATATACTCTAATAAATATTGCCCTTTGGGTCCTTAGAGTCCAATATAATACCCTGAATGTAATATGCGTTCAACGCCTATTTGTTGCAAATTATACATCTTCATTTGACATAAAAGAAATACTTATTAAAAGATGGTTAGTAATAGAAAACGGAAGGAGGAAATAAGGATAGGAGTGTAAACCCTTATTTAACTTAGGTATTCAGGTTTATTACAGTGTACACATTTCATCTGTAGGTAGAATCTTGCTGCAGTGTGTCAAGAAAATAAAACTCCCGTTTTGCTAAATTCAAACGTAAATAGCTAGAAGTACCAGGCAAGGTCAGCCAAGAAGTGCAAAACCTTGGAACAGGGTAGACAGTTGGTATGTCTTTGAACTCCAGCTCTCTTTACACTTAGAGAAAAATAGGTAAGACTGATGTTGGAATTATTTCAGGCGTGGATGTGCTGGAAGAAAACTGTAAAAAGAATTAGGCCGGGCGCGGTGGCTCACGCCTGTAATCCCAGCACTTTGGGAGGCCGAGATGGGTGGATCACTTGAGGTCAGGAGTTCCAGACCAGCCTGGCCAACGTGTTGAAACCCCATGTCTACTAAAAATAGAAAAATTATCAGGGCTTGATGGTGCGTGCCTGTAATCCCAGCTACTTGGGAGGCTGAGGCAGGAGAATCACTGGCACCTGGGAGGCGGAGGTTGTAGTGAGGCAAGATCATGCCACCACACTCCAGCCTCGGTGACAAAGCGACTCCATCCCCTGCCAAAAAAAGAAAAAAGAAAAAAAAAAAAGAATTAATCCCTTTAGTTTGTTTCTTTGGGAACCCCTAGAACACGATGCAATTCACAGGAGAAAGAAGAATTTTGAGGGATAGAAAGTGAGGCTTGGGCAACAAGGGGAGGGAAAATCTTGGCCTGGGGGAAGGCGAAAGTGATAAGTTCACACTAGCCTTTAGGCAAATACAAGTTTATAATTCACCATTGATGTTTGTCTTCAAAATTTCAGCAAAATGTATAGCTTTAACATAGAATGATTTTCAGTAAGATGTCCTGAGGCAAAAAGGATGCAGTGATATCTTCATAGGTGCTGCAATTCCACCGTCTGTGCTAAGTTTCAGGCTGTTTGCCTAAAAAGGCAAGAAACAAGAAGGCTGCTGCTAGGAAGACCAGCAAGGAGGGACACACACATTAAATCTAATACTATTTCTGGAATATTTTATTTGGTGAAGAAGGTTCAGAATCATTCCTGAGATGTGTCTCTTGAGGATCTCTTGTGGTCGGCCGTGAGGTGGACACCTCGTGGGTTTTGCTCTCGCCTGTATGTATCACCATTGTTCTGCACAGCAAAGGGGCTCACTCAGGACCTGTTTGTTGAAAGCAGGAACATTCCGATGAAGGCCAGCCTCATGTGACGTGGAGTTCTGGGAAAGTAAGAAACTCCCACGGACCTTCATAAACGTACACAAATATTTACTCTGCACAATCAATTACAGGCATTAAAAAAAATACTGCCAACCTTGGTAGTGGGGCTTAGGATATTTCAATTTTAGTTTGGAAAGCACAAGAAGTGGGATGGGAAGGTGAGAGAGTGAGAATTGTGGCTAACACCGTCATCGAAGAGTGTCTGGTCAGACTTCCTTCCATATATGATCATTATGTACTGGATATTAAGGAACACATCAAAGGGATGGGTTCCTCTTCATCTATTAGACAGTGTACATTTGTAGCTGCAGCAGTTAAGACCCACCTCAATGACAACCCACTGACCAAGGATCTGCTCCGGATTGTAGTGGATTTGTGCCTTAGGGATCAAAATGCTGGAGGAGATGTGGTTCTTCTCCTCAAGGCCCTTATAGACAATGAAACACGCAATAAGGTGAAATGTGATCATGTCCTCCCTAGGCACTCCCAGGAAAAGTTCCTTCACGGCTGCTCCTCCTGCAGGGTTTTGTTGAGTACACAGGAGATAACATTGATACCTCTTGTAGAGTATCTACAACATATGAGGATACACCTGTGAGTTGGTGAGCTCTTGAAAAGCCGAGCCTTATGTCCTGTGCATTTTATATTCCCAGCACCTAGTATGGTCTGGAACATCAGAGGATCTCCATAAATCTGTTTTTTTTTTTTTTTTTTTGAGACGGAGTCTCACTCTGTCACCCAGGCTGGCGTGCAGTGGCATGATCCCGGCTCACTGCAAGCTCCACATCCCGGGTTCACACCATCCTCTTGCCTCAGCCACCCGAGTAGCTGGGACTACAGGTGCCTGCCACCACAGGCGCCTGCCACCACGCCCGGCTAATTTTTTGTATTTTTAGTAGAGACTGGGTTTCACCGTGTTAGCCAGGAAGATCCTGATCTCCTGACCTTGTGATCCTCCCGCCTCAGCCTCCCAAAGTGCTGGGATTACAGGCTTGAGCCACCGCGCCCGGCTTCATAAATGTTTGTTAAATGAATACATGACAATCTTGTAAATGCTGATAATGGGGTGACAATTGGGAAACTCATCAAAACCTGGAGTGCTCAGGAATTGTATTATGTCACAGGATTGCTTCTTGACCTGTTTAGTTATATCTAATCCCACAGATTATACCTATAATTTAAAAAGATACGAAAGATTGTATAATGTGTACATGCTTCAGATCACAGAGAAATATAGTGTGGGAAGGACCGCCTCTATTTACCTTTTAACAGGGCTGTGTTCTAGGAAGTGTTTGTGATAGGGAAGTAGAGATAACACTTTTTCTTCAGGAAGAAGTCTGACTCTAGAAGGGGAGAAACTGAAAGCCCCAATCCAGTCTCAGGGAACCCAGCTCAAAACTCTGACAAAAAAGCCTGCTCAGGAAATTCTACGGTGTGGCTGGAAGGTAAGTTAGAGGCTGCCTCCACCTGCTTTATTATTCCTGCGTATAGATGACTGTTGCTGTCCATTTAGGCAGAGTCAATTCCAGTCTAGCTTAAAAGATTCTTCTGAGACCCTTTAATCTTTCAGCATCTAATTCAAATGTCAAGCAATTTACAATAATAGTTTCAAATAATGCTTCCTCACAGGTGAGTCAACATTTCTAAGAAAGCAGAAAAGTTGGGTATAAAAAGTTCAATTCTTCCTCGTCGGAAAAAAGATGCAAGACATTTCTACCGTGGGCTGAGCGCTGCCTGGAGGGCAGGGAGGAAGGGGTGAGCGGACCGCGCTGGGATGTGGGTGCCTGGAACTGCCAATCTCTCCGTTTTCCCCTTGGCTCCTAAAGGTCTCTTAGCAGCATTTCCTGCACGCTGGCACCCCCTGTCCTCCTAACGTTTTACTGCCTGCGTGTTTCTCTGTGCTTCCCCACCCTCCGACCCACAGGGCCCGGGGCGCCCTCCGGGGGCCGGCACACAGCAGGGTCTCGCTTCCTCGCGCTGTCTTCTTCAGATGGGATCACTTCGACTTGCGGCCGTTTGGGCGTTCGCGGGGCCTCGGCGATTCTGTGGCGTCCTGGGCTGTGTATGTAGCCCCAGCGGCCGAGGCTCACGGATCCGACCGCCCGGCCGCCGCGTCTGTCCCAAGTTGGGAGACGGGAGGGCCGGGTGGGGTCGCGCCTGCGCCAGGGGGCGGCTCAGAACCAGACTCGCGGTTTTTAACTTATTCCTCAGAGGGGCGAAAGCGAGTCTCGACAAGGACGGCGACGGCTCTCTAGAAGCCGGGGTCCAGGTAGGCTGCCCGGCCCTCGAGCTCGCCCAGCGCCGCTCATGATGCGCCCCGCAGCCCCCTCCCCAAGAAGGGCGTCCGGGCCCCTCCTGGACGCGCAGCTCCCGCGCGCCGCGGGGCCTGGGAACAGCGCACCGGCTGCGCCCGGAGCCGGGCGGACGGTGAGACTGACGGCGTCCGCGCCCAATCGTGGGGCGGGGCCGAGGGGGCCTGCAGGCAGCGACCAATGGGAGCCCGCAGAGCGGGCGGGGGGCGGTGCCGCTGGGCGGGCGGGCGGTGGCATCGGGAGCCGGCGCGGCAGACTGGGAGCCCGGGAGGAGCTGGCGGAGCGAGAGGAGGAGGAGGACGGAGGAGGAGCACCGCGCCCCCGCCGGCCGCCCGAGCGCAGGCCGAGAGCTCCAGCCGCAGCCAGCGGGTCCGGGCCGCCTCCGCCGGAGCCCGGCGCGGGGAGAGTCCGGGCCGATGGGCAGCCCCGGGCAGCGGCGGGCGGCGAGGCGGCAGCCCGGGTACGCGCCGCCCGGCGCGCACAGGCTGTAGCAGGTTCCGGCGGACGGCGTTGCGAAGGTTCGTGTCGGGGAATCCGACGGGCAGCGTGGCGAGGGTCGGTTCGGGATGCCTGCGGCCAGGCGGGGACTGTCCCGAAGGGGAAGGGGATGCCCTTCGGGGCGCTTTGGGGGGCTGACGGCGGCGAGGGGTGCGAGGGGCGCGGGGGTGCGAGGGTCGCGGCGCAGGGTCCGGCTTGTAGACGCAGATGCGCCCGCGCTCCCGATCCCCGGCTGGAAGAGGAGCCGCCGCCGCCTGTTCTCTCCAAGTTATCGATCGGCTGAAAGGTTATTCCCGTCTCGGCGACACAGGCACTGAGGAGGGTCTTCTCCAGGTGCCCAGAACTTCGCTCTGACTAACGCTCTCTGGAAGGGCTCGCGGTTGCCCGACGCAGCTTCCCCGGCGCGCCTGGCCAGCTGACGCCGAACTTGCTGCGGGGCTAATTCCCCTTCTAGAGGGGGTGCGCCCGGAGCGCGCGCCCTCACCGGGACGGATCCCTCTTTGTAAGACCGGGAGCCTCCGGCGAGCGCTCTTCTCACTCACCGCGACCTTTCTTCCCACTTTGCCAGCTCCTGGGCCTCTCCGGGTCTTCCCGTGTCAGTGAGGGTAGTTTGCCCACGTCCTGGGAATATCCCTGGGAACACCTACAGATTAATTTTCAGCCGTGCCGCAAACCCAAAGAATCAATTTCGGCTCATCATCTGCAAGAGAGAGCCGAGGCTTCTCGGAAAGAGAGAACAACTTGGCATTACCCCTGTGGGAGATATTTGTCATCATTAACCTGCTTGAGTTAAATTAATTCAGCCCAAGATGACTCTGGCCTGAGTATTGGAAAAAATCAAGTGCATTGGTTACGGAATTGTGCTCACCAAAACATGATTTTGGTCAAAACAAAATTGTAGACATTTTGGATTTTGGTTAGATTGAGACTGGGTTTTGACAAGGATGGCTTTTTTTTAAAAAAAACAAGGAAAAAAACCCTCAAAGAATCTTGGTGATTCTCATGTCTTTGCCCAGTAAGTTCAAAATAGTCGCACAGATTTTTCTTTTCTTTGCCTCTTTTGTCTGCAGTCTCCATTCTAAACGTTAACACTAGATGGCTTTCTTATGACAGACATTTAGTAAACTGCCCATTTGAGTCGCGTTTGTGTGCAGCCTAGGTTGTAATTTTTCTAGTGTTACAATTAGTAATTGAAGAAAAAAGATCTCCCAAACTGTTGCTTTTTATTGCTTTCCTAGAAAACCTACACATACCGATATTTTTGCGGATATTGAGAGGTGGCCTATTATTTTTGGCATTCCCAAAGTTGAATTTCAAGAGACAACTTGGTTACTGTATTTAGTTACATCATTTAAGAATGCTTGTTTCATGTTTGGACTTATTTAAAGAATTCAGAGTTCTGTTAGTTTTGTCATTCTGTTTAGACAATATTTCCAGTTAAAAGATGTTTACCGCTTGATTGAATTTCACTGCTTGATTCAGAGTTATAAGAGAGTATTATTCATGAGAAAAATGCAGTCTTTCTTAAGTTTTGGGTATAAATCACATTGATTCTTCCTAAAAGATTCCATTGATCCATTTTGGGAAGAGATGCAGTTAAAGTATCTGCATGATTCATACCAGGGATTGTGTTAGGGACATCTCCCCAGAGGATGTTTGATTTTTTCATTTCTAAGCACAAGCCCTTTTATGACAAGCACAATAGCCCGTAGTTTCAGCAGTAACAGCAGCAGCAGCAGCAGCAGGCTCCCAGTTATGTTTTTAAGCACTTTTATTCTAAAGCAAGATCACGGCAGCCTGTCCAAATCTTGCCTAGGTAGGCAAACTTATTTATACGCTGAGTAAATATCTTGAAATTATCTTTGTAGCTATCATTTATTGTGTGCCTTGCCCAGCTTAAAATAAGACATACTGAATTTGTTCTAAATTAGAGTGTATTCATAAATAGCTGAAGGAAAAAGAAGAAAAACTACAGAGCAAACATCTGGGAAGTAGGAAATGAAATCAGAAACAGCTTTTATCAGTACCCACATTCTACCTATAGATGGGGTGAAATGAACCTGGATAAGAAGCAGTGTAAGCACTTGATCCGGAAAAGCAAGAGCTAGATCACAGGTATGGGGGTGGAGCTTCTGGCTTTTAGTATGGGCCACAGATTTTACCCAGTTGCTTTAAGTATATGTTTTTCATTAGATGCTTTTTATGTTTTGAAATCATAGATTTTCTCAAAGAGCTTTAATTGTATGGAATGTAACTTTTAGTCTAATAAGGGAATTATCAGATCATGATTTGGCTTCTATGATGCTTACTGTAGTTAAAGCTGTGTAATATGGATTTGGAAGGTGTTTTTTTTTTTCTCCCCCTCACCCCGCAAGACTGGGATGGTGTTTTGAAGGGTTCCTTGATACCTGAGCTTAGTAAACACTTGTCCACCTTGGGGATCTTTTTACCTGAGGCAAAGGAGAAGCGGGTTATTATTTTGAAATTAGCAGTCTATTTCTGAAAGTAAGGAAATACTAGCTACCCTGAAAAACCAGTTGTTTGGTAATTGAAACTGGTTTAAAAGCACTGTGTTTGGGCATCGAAACTAGTTTAAAGGGATTGTGTTTCCTGCATACTTTGCAAAGAACTATGTGTTTATGTGGATACAGCCCCTTGCCCCCAACCATAATTGGTAAATGCAGCGTTATTTTTTGAGATTGAGGAAGGCATTGAGTTTTTGAACTTCTGATCAATTTATGGTGGTAGTTGAGGATTACAAATCCTTTTAAAGACACACTGAATTTGAAGAAAATTTAGACTAGGGTATTGTTAATTGAAAAGCTGCTTTTTTTTTTCTTTCTGTTTTGAACTTCAATGAAATACAAAGTACAGTCCTAGAGAATAGTGAACCATGTTCTAGGTTTTCTACTTCTGTTAATGTGCCTAATTCATTTGCAGAGTGAGAGTAGAAAAAGCTTTAGGCACAGACAGGAACCTTGAGCTTCCTGCCTCTACCACCTGTCACAAATGAATTTGGATGAAACTATTTTCATGATCCCTTTCAGCACCAAAATTTGGGGTTTCTTTAAGGTTTAAGACGAACGCATTAGAGTAATGAAAATGCCTGTCTGACTGGGATGTTTATATTTTTCATGATTATGTCATTTCTTTGCCTTGGCCTATAGTAAGTTTGTATGTGAATGCTTTGCATGAGGGTCATAGCTACTTGGTTTACCTTGAAATCAATGATTCAGAAATTGCTTTTTGTGTTCCAGTTGCATGTAGCTGTGACTCCTTTTAAAAGTGTGGTAACAATGTGGTAGGAATTTAAAAGCTTCCCAACTTTAGACATAGATTATTTTGATCCTTTCTGAACTGGATTCATAAACTTTGGTTCCAAAGAACAGCAGCTGTAGAAGGGAGCCAGATCTTGACTCACTGTTGAGGTTCTGCTTCTTGAGAGATTTCATATTTAGTGCAACCCAATTCCTTGGTTCGTTCTTCTCCCCCAGTACTAGATAGCCAAGTTGGGTGGTAGGAAGGAAGAAAATATGCAGCAAGTCGAGTCTAGTTGTCATGCTCCTTTGGGCCAGAAAGGACCTTAAAGATTGTCTCGTCATGTTGTTCCTATACCTTTTGTTTTCGTCTACCTGTAAAATGAAAAAAAAAAAAAAAAGCAAATATTAGGGATTGTCAGATATGTCAGCATTTAATGTTGCTACATAAGTGTGTTTAAAATTGACAACAGCAGTTACTACCTATTGTCAATGCATTTCGTCAAAATCCTTTTGATGTACCAAAAAAGAGAAAAGGTGGGGAAAGGGGGAAGAATATGTATGCTGTCAGACTTAAAGGAGAGTTCTTCCTATCCAGAGAGGAGCTGTGTTAAAATTACCCCACTCGTGGATTTATATCTATCCCCACACAGACACTTTTTTCTTTTGCATGGGTCAATGAAAAATTCACTAAGGACCGGGGTTTAGAAATCACTGAGTAGCTCAACTAACCCTTCTTTGATATTTGGATCCTTTTATATAATCTCTGTAAGTGGTCTTCCGGTAATACCTGAACATTGCAAGTAACGGGTGGTGATTTCCACCTTTTAATGGTTTTGAGTACTAGAAAGTTTTTTGGCCTATAGAATTGAAATCTGATTCTGCTTGTTTATTCAAATTCTACTGCCTTGGTGGCCTACAGAACAAATCCTTCAGTCTCTGTCAGAGTTGGGCTCTTGGTGTAACGTGACCCGTGAACATGACCTGTGTAGAGTACAGCAGGAGTGTCTTGTCATAGGTTGCATGTTGCTTGCACTGATGTAGTCCAAGTTTGCATTTACTTTTCTGGTGGCCAGACTCAACGAGTTTCCTTTTCGCTAAAACCTGCCGAGCCGTTAATCACATGCTGCCATTGAACCTCGTCTTTCCATCTTGCGCTGATGTCATTGCAAAACCTAACATTTATTGCGCTGTGGTTTTGCTTTATTTTAGCTGATTCTTTCCATCATGCTTTTTAGAATTTGATTATATTATTTGGCACCTTTACCTGTCCTCCCAAAGAAATGCTGTCTGTACATTATTAGATCAGACTCTTTTATATCTTTACTTAAGCCGGTGATGAAATTGTTAAACTGGCTGAACAACACGAAGTGTGTCTCTGGAAGCTTCCCTCGAGGCTTACAAGGAGTCACACTCTCGGTTATAGTTAACTACTAATGCTCTTCATATCTTATAACTAGCCCATATAGCTCCACCTTTCCACATGGATATCCTGAAAGAGTGTGTCAAACCTCCTTTGCTGGTTCTACTGACCAAGTTATGCTGAGTAATAATGAGTTCATTTTCAGTGTGTCCCTAGTAACGAGCACTCTCTTCTGCATATGATTAAGAAAATGTGTTAAATGACTGACTGGATTGAGACACTAGGGTCACACTGTGATCTGTGACCTCCGGAGGCCTTAGGAACTGCAGTGCTTCTAGGAAAAATCAGAATATTGTTGGACTTTCTTCAGCTTATTTTTTGGTTTGGTATTCTCTTGTGTTGAATTGCTTTCAGATAGTGGGGAAGAACACCACAGTCTCTTCCGGTTTTGTTTTAATTGGTTGATATACTTCTCTTCCTATTTTACTAATAAACATTTAGCCAAAAGGGGTGTCTTGAACTCTGCCCATTAGATTACTCCATATTTTTCACTTCTACATATTTGCTTAATCTTCTGAGAAATATCCCCATTTAGTTGAGTTCCTCAAGAAATCAGAACAGTCCGAAGTAAGCTATCTGGTAGTTTATTCAAACTCTTAAGTAAAAATATCTAGGTAAAGAGCCAGTGTTAAAAATTGTTATTGTGGAAAGTAAGAACTCCTGGGTGAATAAAAGATTATGTCTGCTGAGATGAACTATTGTGTGGAGTTTTAAAAGAAAGTTCTGGTTAATGCTTAAGACATAGTGTCCTGTGAAGTCAGCATAACTACTTTCACTGTCTTCTGGAGGTGGTTTTGATAACACATTTGGTTCCTTGTTGAACAGTGGGTATTCACATTGTTCAGGAATAGCTTTGGGATACTGTCCTCTCCGTATTGAAGTTTCTAATAAGTAATTTTAGGAATTATAGTTTTGATTCTTTGTACAGGGCAAATGCTACCTGTTTCAGGTGTTTAAATGGCCTAATGCAAGAAACAGTGGTTTCTTTTTAGCAGGTTCTCAAGGTTCTCAAACTTTTTTCAACGTGCATCCCATCTATACACAATTGTCTAAGTGTTCATGTATGTATGCGTATACATGTATACATATCTGCATGCACGTTTGTGTGTGTGTATATGTATAATATATCTGTATGTATAAACATATACTTTACTGTGCTAAGATATTATGGACATAAAACAAATGTACATTTTAAGAAGATTAATATTAAAAATAAATAGATGTAGAAGTATTTTCTCTGCATCTCAAGGGCATTTGTATCTTTGAAATGTGTGGCCCCTGTGTAGAGACCACTGTTGTACTATCACTGGTTAGAGTTTATAGCAGTTGAGAAATGGAATTTCTAGGGAGCCTGTAGGGTCTTGTGAGGCAAGCGGAAGACAAACTCCACTCTTGATGGGCCTTATATTTACTGTGTATTTATTCTTTTTCCCGAAGACATTTCTGACTTTGGCCTGTTTTCTTCCAGAATTGCTTGTGGGTCTTGGTTTGGGGTTTCATTTATTGAGGGGTAGGAGGTTAATGTAATGGCGATGCTATTCTCCTTAGAAAGTTTCTAATTGAACTCAGCTGTTTTTTTGTTTTGTTTTGTTTTGTTTTTTGAGACAGAGTCTCGCACTGTCACCCAGGCTGGAGTGCAGTGGTGCGATCTTGGCTCACTGCAAGCTCTGCCTCCTGGGTTGCTGCCATTCTCCTGCCTCAGCCTCCCAAGAAGCTGGGACTACAGGTGCCTGCCACCATGCCTAGCTAATTTTTTTTTGTATTTTTAGTAGAGACGGAGTTTCACCATGTTAGCCAGGATGGTCTCGATCTCCTGACCTCGTGATCTGCCCGCCTCGGCCTCCCAGAGTGCTGGGATTACAGGCGTGAGCCACTGTGCCTGTTCTGAACTCAGCTGTTTAAGAAGCATCATACTATCACACTCAGACGAAAGCATTCCCAGGATCAGGGTATGTTAAAAGTTCAGATTGACAGCCTAGCTCTGTCTGTATGTGATTGGCCAGAACTGTAGCACACAGCCACCCGTAGTGCAAGGAATGCCTGGCTTCCCAGCCGTTAGTGGGTTGGGAATGAGTGAGGAGAGACAGCAGGGAGCCCTGCTCTTGTATCTCCAGTAACTTCCAGCTAAACGAGCACCATCCACCCCCACCCATCCTCCTGTTCGATTTTAATAATGGAACATAAGCAGCAAACAGGCAGGGACATTTCTGGTTTACTGCTGTATTCCCTGCACTTAGGTGGTTTTTGCCACATAATAGGCTCACAGTAAACAAATATTTGTTAAAGAAATGATTGGGAGTTGTGGGTTGAACGTAAAAGAACTTCCTTTATCTTGGCTTTTGTTGAACTAAATACTGTTGAGCAAGTTCTAATCATTATTTCTATTGTACATGATCTATCTTGAACAACAGTTTATACCTCATTTATGCCTTTCCTGGGTCGTTTGAAATGACCTGTGATTGAACTCTGATATGGAACTGGTAAAAATGTGGAAGTTTCTGAAGAGGGACTGTGTTCCATCTGTTACATCAAGAACTTTATAGCCCCATTCAGAGGGGTGTGGTTCCTGGGAGCCTGGGCACCCTTAGGTGGCCGCCTTTCATGAGAGAGTATGATTCACACCTTTCCCAGGTTTCAAAGTCTCATCTGTGCTGATGCCTGCATAGCCCTATTTGAATCCCATGAGGCTGCAGTTGACTTAAAAGCCCTGGCTGGGGCTTAATCAAGCTTACTGAACAGAAAGGATTTCTGAATTGTGTAGTACTGTCTGTAGTCCTTTAGCTCTCAGTCCATTAGCAGGGTTCATTTCTACAGGAAATCATGATGTTTAAAAACCCCATCAGTATTGTATAGTGCATCTTTTGTTGACTCAGTACATGAGGATATTATTTATGCCTTAAATGTGGTAGGTGCTCAGTAGCCATAGTCTTAATTTTATATGGTAAAAGTCTTTTATCTTTAATATCTTAACGTAGTGCTAGTTCTTATAATATGACATTAGAGGGATGTCATTCTAACTCCTATTTGTTTACATTTGTGTATAAGGTATGCTGTGATAAGTGCTGTAAGCAAGGCATACATGATAGTAGAAGCATCCAATTTATCAACCAATTTTATTTGAGGATCGTTGTAACTCATTTGTTTGGAATAATAGGTCATTTTTCCCATTTAAAATGTTTTAATTTGGGCATAGTGGCTCATGCCTGTAATCCCAGTGCTTTGGGAGGCTGAGGCAAGGATTGCTTGAGCCCAGGAGTTTGAGACTAGCCTGGACTGCAAAGCAAGGCCCCATCTCTACAGAAAATTTTAAAATGAGCCGAGTGTGGTGGTGCACACCTGTCGACCTAGCCACTGGGGAGGCTGAGGAGGGCCGATCCCTTGAGCCCAGGCGTTCGAGGTTACGGTGGGCTGATCGTGCCAGTGGACCCCAACCTGTGTGACAGAGTGAGACCCTGTCACAAAAAAAAAAAAATGTTTTAAATGACAAGAATAAGTGAAGGAGACTAATGTTGATTTATGAAGAGAATAAAGAATTGGGGAGAGATATTCTTAAAGGCGAGTGTAAAATGTTACCGTGCTTGAACTTTCATTTGTGTTCTCTCATGTATACTTAACGAGAACCTTATAAGGCTGGTGGGATTTTTTTCCCTTTTACAGATACAAAAACTAAGGTTTAATGAAAGTGTGGTTTTCTGAATCTGAGTCCTTATGTTTTAAACCCATTTCTCTTGGTTCCAGCTATAGTGTTCTTTATTCTACAGCTCACTTGTAAGGTATGGTAGGTTTCAATAAATCATGATGAAAGGAAAGAATGAAAAGACAGAAAGGAAGAAGGGAGAGAGGGAGGGAACTAAAGAAGGTGTGTGCATATAAGAATGGCGGAATTACCGACTCACTATCACTGAAAGGGGGAAGTGGAGGCTGAGGGTTGGGCTAATGAGCTCATTGTTCTGGTCTAAAAACTGCCCTGTTCTCTCAGCCAGTGAATTGTCTGTTATTAACTAGAAATTTTGTAATTTGTGGTGAGGTAGCAGTTTTACTGATTGAATCAGGTTATATATTCTTTGTTGGGAAGTGAGTGGGTCCTTCTGTGATCATGCAGAGAACATTTTTTTTAGCCCGAGTCTTTGCCAAGATTAAAAGAAATATAAGAGGAAAACAATTTTTGTTTTGCATTTATATTTTGCTAGATTTGCATAATCTTTGTTTAAGCCAGTTGAATGTGAATCCCTAAATACATTTCAGGCATTTAAATATTTAAAAGGATTCATCCACAGTACTTTACTCACCCAAAGAATAAGTGCTTACAACAAAGAAAATAACACCCTTGCAGATGTAGCCTATGTAGACTTTGTTCACCTTGTCATTGAATTATACAACATTAATAGAGAAGCTAGAATTTGAACATTCACTGAAATGCTTAGCTGGCTCTGTTCCAAAATATTGTTTCCCTGGTAGAGAAAGCAGGACAATTTGTTTAAAACTGGCAGTTTGCCAGTCAGAATAGCTCTGACGCAATCATTGCAGTAACTACTTTGCTCTGACTGCTAATTTTAGGGCAGTTAAATCTGGGTGATGTCTGATGGCTGCTGTCGCTGTGCGTCTGGTTATGTGAAGCTTTCTAAATTCATCCTCTTAGCTTGGCACCGTAACTTAGTTCTTTCTGAGATAAGCTGTGGAGCAGAGGGGATGTTGAGTCGGCACAGGATATGTGCATGGAATGAGGAACAAGGCCCTAGGAGAGTTTCAAGAGACACTGCTTTCATCTTACTACGCTCTTTGTTATTCCAATAGCAAAGGCTTAGCACATCTGTACTTCCCTTGCTGTAGCACCCTGGGAGGTGTTGAGGAAGGTGGAGAGAAGTGTACATCGAGACACCTACCTTCATGGAACAGGGTTCTGGCAATATGCACTTGCTTTCCTTGTCATCCCTGCAAGCATTAGTGTGTTTAAAAGTGAACTTTTATCTTCTTCCTTTTTGGAACAGGTAAAACTACGGAGAAAAATGGTAATTTAAAAAAATCTGGCCGGGCGTGGTGGCTCATGCCCATAATCCCAGCACTTTGGGAGGCTGAGGCGGGCGGATCATGAGTTCAGGAGTTCAAGACCAGCCTGACCAACATGGTGAAACCCCGTCTCTACTAAAAATACAAAAATTAGCCAGGCTTGGCAGCGCGTGCCTGTAATCCCAGCTACTCAGGAGGCTGAGGCGGGAGAAACGCTTGAACTCGGGAGGCGGAGGTTGCAGTGAGCTGAGATCGCGCCACTGCACTCCAGCCTGGTGAGAGAGCAAGACTCCATCTTAAAAAAAAAATCTATTTGGAGCATTTAAGAGCAGAGTAGAATATCCTGCTATTGCAGATGATACAAGTGGGATAAGGGGTTCTTCCATGGCCTTGTCTAACTCCCTCAGCTTTCTGGGGCAGTGACTATAATCCAATTTTAAAATAAGGATGTGGGACCATGCCATCTTGAAGTCTTTTTAAATGCTGGCATTCTAAGATTTCCAAGTTAACAGGGGCACCCTAGGGTGTGAGACCCCTGAGGACAGGGATCTTGTCCTTCCATCCCTTCCATCCCGTCCTGGGTAGCTGTCAGGCAGAGTCAGCAAATTAACTGACTCTTAGAATTTAGTCCTCGGAGGGACTTTGAGTGTTCTTCTAGTTAAACTTCCTGATGTTACTGATTCAGAACTATCAGAGGGCATGATTTAATCACTAGAGCTATTGTGTAGTAGCATGGGCTACCTTATTAGGTGATGAATGCACTGCCTTCTTAGGTGATGAACTAACTAACTTGGGCAGAGTTGATGGCTATGTGTCAGGTGTATTAGAAAAAGATTCCTGTGTAAATGAGACCATATGATAGATGGGCGCTACAGCTTCTTTCAGATGAAAGACTGTGTGGTTAGCTGAGAATAAGGTGGGTTTGCATGGTTAGGAAAACATTCAAGGAAGATAGAACTTGAGTTAAGCTTTGGAAAATGGTTAGGATTTGAGTTTTTGTTGAGGGCCTCTTGTGTGCAGGGAAACTGTAGGCCCTCTCCAAGACCAGAAGATACATACAGAACACTCTCAGTTGTTCCTTTGATCACAGTACTATCTCTATTAAAATGATCTGCTTAAATACAAACTCATCTTTTTGCCTGGTTTAGGTTTTGCAACTCCAGAGATGCATTTTATTAACAAAAGCAACATTAAGGAGAAGTGACGGACAGTATTTTCAAAGTGGTGATAATTACTTTGTCTATCACGTAAGATGGTCATTATGTTTTTTTTCCTCACTGTAATTTACTGAAGGTTATAGACTGTGTCATAAAACTAAAGGAAAAATTACTTTGGATATACAGAGATATAAATGACGTTTTGGTATAAAATTACTGAATTCATTTCAGTTAGTTGACAGAATATACACATAGTATTATATTTGCAACTCAAGGTCATGTGTTTTGTTTTGAGACTTTATACTTAGGAATATATAACTTGATAATTGATACACTGAAGTGATTTATTTTAAAATTATGCGGAGTAACAAGAGTTTTTTTTTTTTTTTTTGAGATGGAGTCTCACTCTGTCCCTCAGGCTGGAGTGCACTGGTGCAATCTTGGCTCACTGCAACCTCCGACTCTTGGGTTGAAGCGATTCTCCTGCCTCAGCCTCCTGATTAGCTGGGATTATAGGCGCACGCCACCATGCCCAGCTAATTTTTGTATTTTTAGTAGAGACGGGGTTTCACCATCTTGGTCAGGCTGGTCTCGAACTCCTGACCTTGTGATCCACCCGCCTTGGCCTCCTAAAGTGCTGGGATTACAGGTGTGAGCCACCGCGCCCAGCCACAAGAGTTTTAAACTGAGGCGACATTAGGAAGGATGTCTGTGGACAAAAAGAGCTCGCCTCGCCTGAGCATCCCTTCCGCCCCCAGGTCTCTGGGGTGTTGTTCGTTTGCTGCTGATGCTCCCTTCCTTCAGTCCACTTCCTATCTTATGTCTCATGAACTAACAGTAAGTGCTGGGTAAGATTTGCGTTCTGCTTTAAACTTCTGAGATTTATTTAAACCAGTAAATCTCAGTGTAATCACCATATACTTTCCCCCAACGTTTTATCATGCAAATTTGCAATCTTACAGAAAAGCTGAAAATATTGTGTGGTGTAGTGGACACCTCTGTACCCACCTCCTGGATCCCACAGTTGTTAGGTCTGGCTTTATTTGCTTTATAGATGTCTCTCCGTCTTCTACCCATCCATCAATCCATTTTATTTTTTGGATGCATTTCAGAGTAAGTTGCACACTTTTTACACTTTTATCACTAAACACTTCGGCATGTATATTGTAAACGAGTTAAAAAGTTTTACATTTTTTGAAGTAAAAGGTATAGAGTGAAATGCACAAATCTTAAGTGTATCATTCTGGGAGTTTTGATAAATGCATACACCCATATGGCCCATACTTCTATTAGGATGTGAAATGTTTCTCCCACTTCTGAAAGTTCTCTGATGTCCCTGCCCGGTCAACTTACTCTTTTTGTTTCCCACCTTTATCTGAGGCAACCTTTGTTCCTTTTTTTTTTAGGGCCATTGATAAGTTTTGCATGTTCTTGCATGTGATGTAAATGGAATCATGCAGTATGCACTCTTGTGTATAAAGCTGCTTTCAAAATTCAGCATAATTTATTTATTTTTACTTTGTTGTATACTTTATATGACCACACTGGGTTTTCTTTGCCTTCATCTTGATCACATGACCTTTTCAGAGGTCATATCCATTTGTCAGATGATTTTAGGAGCAATTTCTGTCAGATATTTATGTATTTATCTTCAGTCACATCTCAACTTCCCTTTTCCTTACAGGGGTGTGATTTTCCTATCTGATTTGGCAGTTTCCCCACTGGGTCTCATCTTACATCCCACCCATTCATTCTGGAGATGAGGTGCTTCTTTTGTTAGTTGGCTGACACTTGCTGCGGGCCTGGCTCAGGCCAGCTCACAGCATTGAGCTGAGCAACTTTGCTTCTGAAGAGATGGATCCTGACATATTACTGGTTTATTTGTATCTGATACTTAGAAAATTTTAGGTGAATGGAAATAAATCTGTTTATCTTTGCAAAACTGAGGAATTATTTCTAATTAATTCAAATTATTTCCAATTATTTCAAATGCAACAATTATTAAAACTAAAAAAATTTCCTGAGTTCAGTTTTATGATAATATGTGAAGGAGACTAATCAATTAGCCCTGAAAAAATACAGATTTTCAATCACTTATGCTGAAGAGAACTGGCTGGCAAAATGAAAACCTAGTTGACCTAAAAATAAAATTCTAGACTTAGTTAACCACCCGCTTTTCTATTTCTTCTACTACTGAAGTTCTGAGTTGCTAAACCTCTCCAAACATAAATGAAAGTACTAAAACGTTTTCATCAGCTGTACCGGGTTAATGGTGGTTTTGCATGTGGAATGTGCCATCAAGGTGGGAAGACTTTTCCTTAGGGCTGTATTGGTTAAGGTAGCTCTGCCTGCTCTAAGAGACACTACAAAATGCTCTGGCAGTGGAAAAGCTGATTTCTTTCTAGGGTGACAGCCCAAAGTCCGGACAGGTAGGCTGCTCTCCTCCACCTGACACGTGTGGATTCAGGTTCCTTCCATCTGTGTCTGCCACCATAGGGCCCAGCCTCACTGCATTGCCCTGAGTGGTCTGCGCTGAGGCTTGTTGAGGTGGAAGGGGCACCCAGGTGTGCATCACCTAAAGGGCTGGCCCAGAAGGGTCTCCTCCATCCCTTCCACTCTCATTCTTCTGGAGCTCTTACTATGACCTGACCTAATTTCAGGGGATGCTAGGGAATGTCGTGTAGCTGGTTATCCCTGGGCTTCTGTTCTAGTCTTGTGGAATTAGCATTGCCAATTGTTTGGTTCTGCTTTGCCCAGCGGGTTTTATGATGCTTTGTGTGATGCTGGATGTTAGAACTCTTGTGTTGGGGGCTTCCCTAGTTAGTATTCCTCTCTACTGTAGGATAAAAGTCCTTGTGATCTTGAGCTCTTTTTGCTATACTGTACTCCCAAGATGCAGAACACATTTTGGATAGATCAGACATGGGCTAAGACTGAGGGGCCATCTCCATGGCTATGGGGCCTGTATGTCAGTCAGCGGCTTCCTCTCTAAAAGTCCCCATTTCTGAACCTGTAAGTGCAAAAAATTCAGTCTGTGTCATAGTATTATGGAGAGGATTTATCGAGAAAAGCTGCCTATCGTATAGCTGGTGCTCAGATGTATTCATTCGTCAGCTATTTATTACATGTTCTTTTTTTACCAGACACAGTTCTAGGGACTCAGGTTATGGTGGTGAGTAAGGCAGACAGGGTGTTGCCCTTGTGGTGCTCTTATTCTGGAAATACAGTAGATTTTCTAATAATATTTCTCAAGATAGAGTCCTCCCTGCCCCCCCTCATTGGAAGTAGTTTAGTTCTGGGTGGAGGAAGGGAGGGTAAAGTCTAATAATTAGATTGTTGACAGATTCTATAACTTCGAAAGAAATGTTACTGGAGACATGGATCAGGGGATGTAATAAAAGACCTAGTCCCTGTTTAAAATTCAGACTCATAATAGAAGGCTTAAGAGACACTTGATGAATGGAATAATGGTAATCACTTATTCAGGAGCCAGAGGGTTTCTTGGGAGCAAAAACCTTTCGAATGACTGCAGGGCCCTCTGGCTTTCCTGTGATTCAGAGGAAGTTCCACTGGAGTCCAGGGGCCATCTCATACTCTGAGGAGCTGGGATGGGGTCGGGGCAAATAGTAAGGAAGCAGTTGTGTGTGTGATTTTCTCCTTCTCTAATGAGCTCACGTTGTGCTGCTTTAGCCTGAAAGGACCTTCAGCAGACTGCTGGCTAGCACCTTGAAAAACTCTTGAAGTGACGATTCTGATCGATTTTAGTGGCCACTTTGGAGACCGTGTGGAGTAGATTCCGAGCCTGTGTCCAAGCTCAAGGGCAGCAAGTGCTGTGGTCAGTGCACCATGGTGTCAGGGGCAGGAGATGGAGTGTGGCCACCATTCTTGGGCTCTTGAGTTTTGTGTCTCTAGAGTTATCTTGTGGTTTCCAAGGATGTGTAGCAGTAATTCTGATGATACCAGACATAAATATTCTTTCCAGAGGGTCACCTCATAACATCCACAGTGTACTATGAACATGAGCTTATTCCTCTCAGAATGTTTTGAGAGTAGAGGCTTACACTTGTTTGCTCTAAGTTAAGGGATTATATCCAGCTTTGGACTGGAATTTTCTCCTAGAGATTGGAGTGTTCATGTTCTTGAATGAAGACATGCAAAAGAATGAAAACTTAGTGATAAGGATGCATTTGTCACTTTCCACTATCAAATTAGAAAAAGAGGCAGAAAACTCTTGGTTAAAATAAATGACATTTCAAATTTTTGTAAGATGGAAAGGCTAAATGGTTTTTAACAGGAGCATCATGGCATTTTGATAATTCGAAAGTTGCATTCCTTTCCTTTTGAATGCTGCTGTCTGCTCGAGGTGTATTATAGATGGGCTATGCATATATTGCTAATTTTTGCCAATAACTTAATCATGGAAGGATTCCGGGAACCTCCCGAGCAATAAGAACACAGCTGAGCATTTCTTGAGCCTTTCATTTGATTTGGGGGCAGTAGCTGCGGCTAAGCAGCTGCAGATGGTATGTTTTCAATTCATGCTGTGGCAGTTTGGGAATTCTTTTTACATCTTTTTGTTTATAGTGAACAAAAGAGCAGTGTGGAACTTAATCAGTTAGATCAAATGTATATAAATTCTGAGGATGGTGTTTCTACTCTATCTGAACTGAAGTACGAAACTTGTGTGTGAGGAAAACTGGCCTGCTGATTTATGGTGCCTGATGAAATCCTACATTAACATGCCTCTAAGATGTGTGTGCTTTGACTTTCCATTAATGGGTAAACATTTACACAGGCCTTGGCTGATGGAATAATGAGTTATTCCATCAGCCAAAACCCTTTATCTTTCTCTTCTTACGCTGTTACACGAAGTATCTGGCAATCCCTGTGTGGAGTGTGAGCCTATGCTTTTCATGACAGTAAGTTAGTGTAGTCTGTTGGTTGGGGATTTTGGAGGAAAAAGGGAAGCCTTCTACAGGAGGGTGAAGGTTTCTCAGAGTTCATGTCTTTGTGGGAAGAGTGGGAGGAGATGCCAAAGAAATTGCAAATATACTAATAATCCTCAGATAAGTGGTTTCTGCACAATGCCCTCCTGCTAAGTGTTCTGTTATTGTTGGACTCGGAATAAAGACTTGCTGGACTCTGCTTCAAATCCTGTGGGCGATTCTTACATTTTTGTGTTCAAACCCATCCTAGCTTCCTGTTGCTCAGATACTGGGTGTGTTCTGTGGGTTAGAAAGCACATAGCACCTGAAAGGTCATATTCTGTGCTCCCTAAATTGAGATGAACTAATTTGACCTACATTACAACATTTTTGGCATTATACACACACACGCACACACATAAATTTTGTTCTTGAATTTTAACTTAATTGGAAGCTTCTAAAAACTGGATCCTTCTAATCTTGTCTTTATGGTGGTATCTGTATTTTGTTCACAGCTTTTAATCCTTGCTCTATTCTTCTAAGTGTTTAGATTCCTAGTAACTTCCAGAATTGCTGGAAGACAGTTCCGTGTTGGATACCTTCAGAGAATGTATAGAATGCTGTTAACACCTGGAGAAGGTTCCCTTGACTCCATAATAAAAGTGGGTGGTTTGCTAAAGACCACCTGTAACTTTGTGTTTTCCTTCTTGCCTGGGCCTTTGTACAGCTTTACCACCAGGATGCCTTCTAAAAAGTCAGTATAAAGGGTCTTGTGAAAACACTAATATTTTAAGTTACATCTTTCTGGGTAGAGACATTGTGAAGTCCATTGAAAAAGTACTGCTCACTTTTCCACCTACTCAAAATGAAGAGGTGACGAATAAGCTGAAGGTCAGTGTATTAGTCTGTTTTCGTGCTGCTGATAAAAGACATACCCGAGACTGGCAAGAAAAAGAGGTTTAATTGGACTTACAGTTTCACATGGCTGCGGAGGCCTCAGAATCATGGCAGGAGGTGAAAGGCATTTCTTACATGGCAGCAGCAAGGGAAAATGAGGAAGATGTAAAAGCGGAAACACTTGATGAAAACCATCAGATCTCGTGAGACTTATTCAGTACCACGAGAACAGTATGGGGGAAACTGCCCCCATGATTCAAACTATCTTCCACCAGGTCCCTCCCTCCCACAACGTGTAGGAATTATGGGAGTACAATTCAAGATAAGATTTGGGTGAGGACACAGAACTAAACCATATCATTGCACCTCTGGCCTCTCCAAATCTCATGTCCTGACGTTTCAAAACCAATCATGCCTTCCCAACAGTCCCCCAATGTCTACTCATTTCAGCAGTAACCCAAAAGTTAACAGTCCAAAGTCTCATCTGAGACAATACAAGTTCCTTCCACCTATGAGCCTGTGAAATCAAAAGCAAGCCAATTACTTCTTAGATACAATGGGGATATAGGTATGAGTAAATACAGCTCTTCCAAATGGGAGAAACTGACCAAAACAAAGGGGTTACAGGGCCCATGCAAGTCTGAAATTCAGCGGGGCAGTCAAATGTTAAAACTCCAAAATGATCTCCTTTGACTCCAGGTCTCACATCCAGGTCATGCTGATGCAAGAGGTGGGTTCCCATGGTCTTGGGCAGCTCCACCTCTGTGGCTTTGCAGGGTACAGCCTCCCTCCCAGCTGCTTTCATGGGCTGGCATTGAGTGTCTGCAGCTTTTCCAGGCGAACGGTGCAAGCTGTTGGTGGATCTACCATTCTGGGGTCTGGAGGACAGTGGCCCTCTTCTCACAGCTCCACTAGGCAGTGCCCCAGTAGGGACTCTGTGTGGGGACTCCACCACACATTTCCCTTTTACACTGCCCTAGCAGAGTTTCTCCATGAGTGCCTGCCCCTACAGCAAACTTCTGCCTGGTTATCCAGGTATTTGCATACATCCTGCGAAATCTAGGCTGAGGTTCCCAAACCTCAGTTCTTGACTTCTGTGCACTCGTGAGCTCGACACCATGTGGAAGCTGCCAAGGCTTGAGGCTTGTCCCCTCCGAAGCCAGGGCCCCAGCTCAACGCTGACCCCTTTCAGTCACGGCTGGAGTGACAGGGACACAGGGCACCAAGTCTGTAAGCTGCACACGGCACAGGAACCCTGGGCCTGGCCCATGAAACCATTTTCTCCTAGGTTTCTGGGCCTGTGATGGGAGGGGCTGCTGGGAAGGCCTCTGATATGCCCTGGAGACATTTTCCCCATTGTCTTGGGGATAACAGTTGGCTCCTCATTATTTATGCACATTTCTTCAGGTGGCTTGGATTTCTCCTCAGAAAATAGGATTTCTTTTCTGTCACATTGTCCGGCTGCAAATTTTTTGAACTTTTATGATCTGCTTTCCTTATAAAACTGAATGCCGTTAACAGCACCTAAGTCACCTCTTGAATGCTTTGCTGCTTAGAAATTTCTTCTGCCGGATACCCTAAATTCTCTGTCTGAAGTTCAAAGTTCCACAAATCTCTAGGGCAAGGGTAAAATGCCACTAGTCTCTTTGCTGAAACATAACAGGAGTCACCTTTGCTCCAGTTCCCAAGTTCCTCATCTTCCTTTGAGATCGCTTCAGCCTGGACCTTATTGTTCATATCACTATCAGGCTTTTGGTCAAAGCCATTCAACGAGTCTCAGGCAAGTTCCAAACTTTCCCACATTTTTCTCTCTTCTGAGCCCTCCAAACTGTTCCAACTTCTGCCTGTTACCTACTAAAGTAACAGTCAGCAAAGTCGCTCCCACATTTTCAGGTGTCTTTTCAGCAACGCCCCACTCTACTGGTACCAATTTACTGTATTAATCCATTTTCACGCTGCTGATAAAGATATATTTGAGACTGGGAAGAAAAAATGGTTTAACTGGAGTTCCACATGGCTGGGGAGGCCTCAGAATCATGGCGGGAGGCAAAAGGCAGTTCTTACATGGCAGAGGCAGGAGAAAATGAGGAAGATGCAAAAGCGGAACCCCTGATAAAACCATCAGATCTTGTGAGACTTACTCACTACCACAAGAACAGGATGGGGGAAGCCGCCCCATGATTCAAACTATCTCCCACTGGGTCCCTCCCACAACACCTGGGAATTATGGGAGTACAATTCAAGAGGAGATTTGGATGGAGACACAGAGCCAAACCATATCAGTCAGAGAGCGTTGGTAGCCCTCTGGGTTTCAGGCCTATTGTTAGTATAAATAGAGTTTTTATTTTACTTTTTTTAAGCTCATTTTAGAAATGTGAGTTAAAGCCCTACCTGAACTAAGGTGTTCCTCCCCATTTAATTACCCTTATTCTCCTTCACTTGCTGTCAGGCCTGTGCTGGCCTCTGATGAGTTCCAACTTGGGAACAGATGACACGGTGCCACTCCACACTGAGAAAGGCTGAACTCTGAGCTCTTCTGGCGGCCTAGTGTCAGGCCCAGGTGCCTGAGTTCGTCATTGCTGATGTGTGTATGTGGAGGGGGTTGCTTGTTTGCCTGATTACTAGTTTTTAAGACTTGGAGACAAACTGACGAACATACAAATATTTTGCTGTTTATCAAGATCTCTTAGAATTTTGTATGTATTTTATTTTTAGACACTACATAAATAAGTAAGGCACATTTCCCTCTTTACATCTTCCATAGCACCGAGTTTTTGTGTCTTGCTTTAGCCCTGGAAACCTGGCGTCCAGCCCAGTGCTGGTGGGGCCCTCACCATGGCCTTCCATCAGCAGAGGCAGTTTCTCCAAGTGAGTCCAGGTCTCAACCAGTGACTTGTTCCCATCCACATCACCTAGCACAGCCCTTCTCTGTGGCAGAGAACTGAAGGAACTCAAGTGTCCTTAATTTCCAATCCCTCACAGATTGGTACTTCTGAGAATATAAATAATATTCATTATTAAAAAAACATGAAGAGATATACAGTACAACATTTTAAAACCTCAATTTTTATTGTTAGATTTAACAGACGTAAACTTCCATTTCTTTAAATATAATCACAATAAACATAGGAAAAAAGAAAAACATTGTTAAAGAATTACATTTGTTCCATGAAAATGTGCATATCAGAGATGAATAAAGTGAGTCACAGTTACTCTCATAACTTTGTTCTGCAATTATAACTAAAGTTACAAGTGAGAGATCGGGTCTCCATTTTAAATGCTAATAACAGATTTTGAACAGACATCATGCATATCATTATTTTAAGATTTTAATTTGATAACTGAGTTTGCTTCCTTTTTTTTCTTTTTTCTTTTTCTTTTTTTTTTTTTTTTGAGATGGAGTCTCGCACTGTCGCCTGGGCTGGAGTGCAGTGGTGCGATCTTGGCTCACTGCAAGCTCCGCCTCCCAGGTACAAGTGATTCTCCTGCCTCAGCCTCCCAGGTAGCTGGGATTACAGGCACCCACCACCACACCCAGCTAATTTTTTGTATTTTTAGTAGAGACAGGGTTTCACTATGTTGGCCAGGCTGGTCTCAAACTCCTGACCCTGTGATCTGCCCAGCTCGGCCTCCCAAAATGCTGAGATTACAGGTGTGAGCCACTATGCCCAGCCGCTTGCTTCGTTCTTGCTTGATAATTTATCTACTCAGGTTTGGATTGATAACACTATTTTAGGGGATAATGTGTATCTCAATGGTTTCTCTGTTTTGTTTTAATAATATGCATAATAGAGACACCCTTTCACAGAGAAGTATGTTGATGGAAATGGAAGAAGAAATTGTGAAGCAATTTCAGCATATTCATTTTAAACTTTTACCCAGAAAGTAAGCAAATGATAAATTTCAAAATTTATCTTTGATCTGTCATTGGTGATTAGGTCCAACCGTTTATTTTATTAAGTAATAGTTAATTTGATGAACAAAACGGATTCTGGATTTTGTATACTTTTGTATTAAAGTTGACAACTAACTATAAAACATCACTGTTTTAACACCATCCTAATGATCTTAATTAGTCATGTGACTCACCATACAAGTTCAACAACATCCAAACTGGTTTATGGCTAGTTCGATGTGGGTGATTATCCCAAATTACCTTTTAGAGAGACAAAATTAAATTGTGGAAAACAAACTATTAGAAAAGAGGTTACTTTTTTTTTTTCTTTTTTCACAGCTAATTCTTTTCTAAAGGAGGGGATGTCGGTTAATATTAGATACGTGTTTGACTTTAAGAAGACCGGCCTATTGTGAGTAAGTAGCTAGATTGTGAACCCTTTGGAAGATTTATTTTGGGGCTGTGAGTTGAAGATGGAGTAATGGAATCTTACAGTCCCAGGTAGGTGAACCTGCCTGGCACTTGCTTGGCCACTGTATGTGGTTTCCTCTGTGGTGTATTTCTCGCCCATGTGCCTCTACCTTAGTTGGAGTGCTTATCAGTCTTCTACTGTGCATGGATCTCCTCGTGTTTGTAATATATGCAGAGATATGGGTGTGCAGCACGCAGAGAAACATCTTTAGTAACTCGAGTAACTTGGCAACACCAAAATGCTAAAATAATTTTTTATTTTAATGAGAGAGGAGGACCATGTTAATGTCTGAGCTTGTACTCAGAGGGTAGAGGAAGAGACAGCATTGAAAAGAGGGCACCAACCTCTTGATTCCAACCCATTAATTTGTTTTCTATTATTTGAGAGTTGTTACTGCATTTGCAGGTGGTCTTTCCTCTGCAGCAGTCCCTCACTGGATATTTGAACCCTTGTGAGAAGCTATCCCTAAAAGATTATCTGCCCATTCCTCTCAAGAGGTGAAATATGGGGTTGGGTGCAGTGGCTCATGCCTGTGATCCCAGTACTTTGGGAGGTTGAGGCGGGCAGATCACTTGAAGTCAGGAGTTCGAGACCAGCCTGACCACCATGGTGAAACCCTGTCTCTACTAAAAATACAAAAAAATTAGTGGGGTGTGGTGATGTATGCCTGTATTTCCAGCTACTCAGGAGGCTGAGGCATGAGAGTCGCTTAAGTCTGGAGGTGGAAGTTGTGGTGAGCTGAGATTGCGCCACTGCACTCCAACCTGGGTGACAGAGTAAGACTCGTTTTTTTTTTTTTTTTTTTTTTGAGATGGAGTTTCGCTCTTGTTGCCCAGGCTGGAGTGCGATCTCGGCTCACCGCAACCTCCGCCTCCCCAGTTCGAGTGATTTTCCTGCCTCAGCCTCCCGAGTAGCTGGGATTACAGGCATGCGCTACCCCGCCCAGCTAATTTTGTATTTTTAGTAGAAACAGGGTTTCTCCGTGTTGGTCAGGCTGGTTTCAAACTCCTGACCTAAGGTGATCCGCCTGCCTCTGCCTCCCAAAGTGCTGGGATTACAGGCATGAGATACTGTGCCCGGCGTTTTTTTTTTTTTAAAAAAGAGGTGAAATATGGGAAATAAGTGCAGATGGGAACATCACCATGTAACCCTACCTGTGTGCCTGAAGACTTTGAACAAAGCAGCCCTTCTCTTCCATGGCACTGGCGGAAAGATTAATAAATACGAGGAGAAGTGGGGACAGTTTTCGTTAATGCTGAGTGCTCCAAGCATGGCGTTCCTTGTCTTCTTGGTTAAGCTCTGTGCAACTTTTCATAACATAGAAAGTTAATTTTATGGGGATTTGGGATGGGCAATTTACCCCACGAAATAATCACAAGTGGTCTAAAAGATTTATGTATAAGGATACCCAATGTAATATTTGTTATTACATTAAAAATTGGAAAAAATTTGATAGTAAGATATTCAATTATGATACTGCATATGATCAAGTAATTTAAATCAATTAAATATCTTGTTTTATAAGGCTATTTAATGACATGGGAAAATGTTCACATAATATTAAATGAAAACATTTTCTTGGTAAGCAGTATATTAAATATGCATATGCATTAATGGAACAGGGATACATTAAAAAATTTACAATGGTTATTACTTGTGGTTGTGTTATGTGTAATTATCATTTTCTTTTTGCATTTGTTTTCCAGCTTTTCTAAAATGAACATATTAATTTTATAATAGGAAAAAACATGCTGTTAAAATATTTGAATGACTGAATTATATGTAATCTTTAAAAAATAATTAGTCTGTCTCAAAACAGTTTCCTGATTCAATATAGTTTGGATTTATTTTCTTTTAATTGTATTTAACAGAAGTTTTCAAGGCAAGTAATTAGCAAATATTTACTAGACTCTACTTAACAGAAATTTTCAAGACAAGTAATTAGCAAATGTTTATTAGATATAGATGTAATAGATATGTTTTTGGTACATGTTCTTTATTGTAAAAGCCCCTAACATCTAAGTTTAGTTTCACGTATGCTTTGAAAATTATTTGCTGGTCTTATATGTCAGTTTAAGCATTATATTTTTTAACCTTCTGACAACTTTCTTTCATTTAAACTTATTACATAGGAAGAAATACATATATATGTATAATTTAAAGGCATTGAAATTAGTTTCAGGATCTTTTTTAGTATTAATAATATATTATAAATTATATAGTATATATAATAAATGAATAATATAATTCATTGGTAAGGCCCAGAATGACTTGCTTTATATACCTACATTATTTTATTTAATTATCACAAGTACCTCTCCTTGACAATGAGAATATTTTTCCGCATTGCTACTAAACATTAAGTTAGAGATTTTGGCATTTACTTTAAAAATACCGTTAAAGCTCTCGGCTTATTTCTGAAAGCAGAGATACCTTGACCCAGATAACTTCTATGTCTTTTTAGCAGTATAATTGCCGGCCCTTTGGTACTATGCTTTTTGACATTTATGTTAAAAATAAAAATTAGCTAATTTGTAAGTTATGAGGTCTCAAAAAAAAGTTCATTCCTCTTTCACGCCTGTTAATGCTTCTATTAAAATTCTGAAATGGCTTATTAAATTAAGTGCAGTGTCAAAGGCTAATTGTCTCTTTGTGAATTAGTCTACATGACTTATGAAAGCATGTTTTAAGAATTATGTTTGAATAGCAACTCTGAAGTCAATTTTTAGTATCTATCAAATTGTAATGATAGTAGATGAAAAGTATTAATAGATTATGAGGTCCTTTCTCTTGCTGTTACAAAAGATGCCTATAATATATATTTGTTGTTAATGTACTTGAAATTTCTTGAACTCAGTAGCATCATGTGTCTGAGACACTGATATGAATATGTGGTTAGAATGTGCTGTGTGTGCTACAGCATTGTCTGATGGATCAGAAAGCAGCAACTGTGTCTGACTGTGGCACAGGCAGTGCACGTATGTGTGATGTGTGTAAGAAGTCCTATCATATTGTTGGAGAATCAGAAATCCTGTATTTTTTATTTTTATCTTAATGTAAAAATTGTATTTCACAAGCCAGTATAATTTTAGTGGAATGAATGTGAGGCTTGGAGTACCTTATTTTTTTGTTTTTTGTTTTGTTTTGTTTTGTTTTGTTTTTAAGACAGAATCTCGCTCTGTCGCCCAGGCTGGAGTGCAGTGGCGCGATCTTGGCTCACTGCAACCTCCGCCTCCCAGGTTCAAGCGATTCTCCTGCCTCAACCTCCCAAGTAGCTGGGATTACAGGCACCCGCCACCATGCCCGGCTAATTTTGTATTTTTAGTAGAGACAGAGTTTCACCGTGTTGGCCAGGCTTGTGTTGAATTCCTGACCGCAGGTGATCCATCCGTTTCGGCCTCCCAAAGTTCTGGAATTACAGGCGTGAGCCACCACACCCAGCTGGGAGTAACTTCTATTCAGTGTCTTTTGAACACCTACCATGGTTTGTTCACTGTGATATTCCATGGTTTGAACCTGAAGTCTGTACTACCTTGGGTGGCTGGGCACAGTGGCTCACACATGTAATACTCCTGGCACTTTGGGAGGCCAAGGAAGGTGGATCATTTGAGCCCAGGAGTTTGACACCAGACTGGGCAACATGGAGAAACCCCGTCTGTACAAAAAGATACAAAAATTAGCTGGGTGTGGTGATGTATGCCTATAGTCCTAGCTACTCAGGAGACTGAGGTGGGAGAATCACTTGAGCCCAGGAGGTCAAGACTGCAGTGAGCCATGATTGAGCCACTGCACTCCAGCCAGGGAGACAGAGCAAGACCCTGTATATTAAGTCAGTTCTTGCATTGCTATAAAGAAATACCTGAGACTGGGTAATTTATAAGGAAAAGAGGTTTAATTGGCTCACGGTTCTGCAGGCTGCACGGGAAGCATGATGCTGGCCATCTCCTTGGCTTCTGGGGAGGCCTCAGGAAACTTATAATCATGGCGGAAGATGAAGTGGAAACAGACAGGTCTTATATGGCCCACACAGGAGGAAGAGAGGAGAGGGGTTATGTGCCACACACATTTAAACAAACATCTCCTGAGAACTCCATCATGAGATAGTACTAGGAGGCTGGTGCTAAACCATTAGAAACTACCCCCATGATCCAGTCTCTCCCACCAGGCCTCACCTCCAACATTGGTGATTACAATTCAACATGAGATTTGGGTGGGGACACAGATCCAAGCCACATCACTCTGTCTCAAAAAAACCAAACCAAACCAAAACAAAACCCAAACAGATACACCACCTTGGGCAAGTTGAGCCTTGATTCTCACATCTTGAAATGGGGATTAGAGTATCTATTGTGAAAGATTGTTGTGAGATTCTGATAATGCTTGTGAAAGTGCTTTGTCAAGTGCCTGGCACATAGTAGGTGCACAGTAAACTATAGTTACTTTTCTGCGTTATTGAACATCTGGTATGTGTTAAATAACTTGTCTGCCTACACTGGAGCAGAGTGAGAGGAGGCGGCTGGAAAGGAAATGAATACAACAGACTATAAAAGTGGAGTGAATTTTAGTGAACGAAGAGGTTTTTAAAGTCAAAATACAAAAATTGTATTCAATGATGAATATTCTTCTCATTAGTGATAGTGAGTCAAAACAAAGTTGATTTGAAGGGAGTTGGTGTAGATTCTCACAGGGGAAGTTCCCTTATGCTTTACCACGTGCTGGAATCTTTTGAAGATTCTTAAACTGATAAGCAAGAGTCTGTGGATGCGTTGTATCCTTCTGCTTGATGTAATTAATCCCTGTGGTGGAATCAGGTTGATTTGTTTGAAAAATGCCATTCAGCAGGTCTTAAAAAGCATAGTCTGATTGTGGATTTAGTAAATATGATGTCCACTTCTGTGAAATTCCCTGCTCGCTTCACTTCTGTATTTCAGAAGGTCTCTTTCTGCTGGGTACCCTTTTACTTAGTCGTCAAAAATAGGTAACTTGAACTTTTCTGATAGTTTCTATTGGGGCCTAGAAGAAATGGTCTCAGTAAAGACTTGGGGTATAATGATGTGGCTGGTGTTAGAGCAGGGCCTGAGTGCCCCATGTGGATCTAATGGTCACCTGCATCAGTGGATGGCAGGGCCTGGAAGGAGAGGTGGGTTTCCATGACCTCGCTGCTGTGATCCTAACCATCCCCCAGCTCTCCCACACCTCTGAACCCTGCTGGTGCTGCCCCAGTCTTGTCTTCCACCCATGGCTTTCGTCATCTGGCCTTCCCTCCCGGCTCTGTGGGTCCTGGTATTGCCAATCCTACGGCTTGTCCTCAGGCCGCATCCTCTGTTGCTTTCCGCTCCTCTTGACCCTGAGTGACACCCTGCTGTTCAAACGTTTACCTCTGCGCCTCGTTCTCCTCCCTCCCCTGGTCGTTTTTCTTCTACCCTTGCTGGCCTCTCCACCTCTCAATGCCTTTTAAACACTGGGGTCTCATGATCTTATTGTCACTTTGCATGATCGATCACACCTCCCTAAGTGGCATCTTTCACAGCCTCTGGAAGGAGACCTCCAGATCTTTACCTGTCTGGCCTTTCTCCAGCTGTCCCTAGTCGTCTTCCTTGGATCTTCTCAATACATTTCACAGTAAATAAATCCTTTCCGGATCTGTTGTCTTCCCCCCAGATCTCTGTTGCACTCTGTTCTTTGTCTTAGTATGTGCTGTCACTGTCAACATAGGACGCCCAGTTAGACGAAGCTTGTTGTCCTCCCTAACTCAATCCTTATACCACGTGTCTGGTTGGTCACCAGCATCCGCTAATTCTGCATCAGAAATGCCTTCGAATCTGTCTTTTTTATCCCCCCTGCTCCTGCCTTACTTAGGACATGTCATCCTTCATTGAATTTTGAAATAGCTTTCTAGCTGGTGTGTTCAATATGGTAGCCACCAACTGCATGAGGCCATTTAAATTTAGGTTAACTAAAATTAAATAAAAATAAAAATTCAGTTCCTCATTCTCACTAGCTACCTTTCAGGTGCTCAACGGCCCCATGTAGCTGCCATACTGGGCATTGCAGGAGTAACATTTTCATCACTGCAGAAGTTTCTGTAGATACCGCTGTCTAGCTCATCTCTCCGTCTCCAGTTGTCTACTCTGCCCATTTCATCCTTCATATTGCTGCCAGCATTTTCTGCGTGGAAACAGTCATCTAGTTATGAGCCTTCCCTGCTTAAATAACCTTCTGAGGGTGGCCAGAGGCAGTGGCTCACGCCCGTAGTCCCAGCACTTTGGGAGGCCGAGGTGGGTGGATCACGAGGTCAGGAGTTCAAGACCAGCCTGGCCAAGATGGTGAAACCCCATCTCTACTAATAATACAAAAATCTGCTGGGCATGGTGGCGTGCACCTGTAATCCCAGCTACTCTGGAGGCTGAGGCAGAGAATAGCTTGAACCTGGGAGGCAGAGGTTGCAGTGAGCCAGGATCGCACTACTGCACTCCAGCTTGGGCAACAGAGTGAGACTCCATCTTAAATAAACAAAACAAAACAAAAAACCTTCTGAGGGTGCTTGAGTAAAATCTGCACCCCTCAGCATGGACTGTAGGTCCTCAGAGCCTCCCCTCTCCTCCCACACCACTCTCCTTGGTCTCTAGACTCAGAGGCTCCTGCCCCTCACCTCTCATCCAGGTTGGCTTTGCTGCTTCTCTGCCTGTGCACAAGCTCTTCTTGTTGCTTGGAATGCCCACCTCCTTGTCTTCAGTCTTGCCTGCACTTTCTCTCTGGTAGTGACTTCCCCTCCTTGCCTTGTAGCATTTGTTTACTAGGCCACCTTCTCCATGCGAGGGCTTTTCTCAAGGGCATGGTCTTCAAAGGTTTTTGTCTTTGCACCCTCTGAAATAATTTTTAAAAAACATATACTCCTTCACATGCTTGTAAGGTGACATCCCATATTTTAAATCATAAATAATAGTATGTTTTTGTTAATAGCAAGTAGGAATTGTTAAACATATTATGAGATGAAAATAATATGAAGATTGACTTAGTTTGATATACCTTTTACAATAGAATTTGAGATAATTGATTTTATCTACCTGGTTGAAAAATGTACTGTAAAGAATACAAGTAAAATTGTTACCTTTGACATTTCTGTAACTTGGCTTGAACATTTTGGCGTTTGGTGTGTTGGGGGTGTGGAATTTCAGAAACATTTAAGAGCATCTATGCCATTAAACCTGTATGTCTTCAGTTTTTCTGAATCCAGAACATCCCCAAATGGGCCAAATTTCACCCATAACAGAAATGTGTTGAAGACACATAAAAACTGGAAGCCATATGGATTCAAGGGACCATGGGCTATAATTAATCATCAAAGAAGACATCTTGATGATCAGTGTTTTGAGTTATCCTTTGTTTGGTGCCCTGAGGTGTTTTAAACTTTGGAAGAATGCCCCATAGTAAGATTTCAGGGAGAGTGGAGCTGTTGCAAAGACAGGAATGCCCGTCTGTTTTCAGAAAGAGTTACATAGGGAAGGTGAGGGTCTCAAAATTGATTCTGTAGGAGGATTGCTTGGGCCCAGGAGATTGAGACTAGCCTGGGCAACATAGGTGTTAGCTATTAGCTCTCCTTGAACTGGGCACATAGGCTTTTTGAGTCCCTAAAGTTGAATGTCTCTGTTGGACTACTGCAACTGTAGGATGAGGCAGTCTTCATCTTGCCTGTGTCCCAGGGCCCAGCCTGGGGGCTGAGTGAATAGGCCACCTCACTAGTCTAACTTGGCATATCCTCCCTGGCTGGTCCCTTGCTCTCCTCTAGGGGATACCATCGGGGCTGTTGTTGGTGCCTGCTCTTGCCTATAGGTTTACTTGAGACACCACTGGCCACAGGAAACAGGGACTGTCATTCTACCTTTGGGAAGAGTGAAAGTATTTTTGTCGTGACACAGTAACTGTTTATAGCAGCTTGCATGATTTTATCAGTTATTCTACAACCCATTTTGTAGGACAGGGGTGACATTGCTGTGTAGGCTGCCTGGCTGTCACCTATGTGCCCTGAGGCTTCCATATGAGTGGCTTCCATGAGTTTTCCTGGAGCAACTGCCACCTTCTGCTCTGGAACTGAGTGCTGAGGGGCAGGGGGTGGAGCACACTCCGGCTGAGCGTCCTACCCACTTCAGAAGTAAGGTGCATGGTGACCATTGTTCCCCAGCTAGATCACAGTAAACCACATTATGTCATCCAACAGGCACGCTCCTTAATTTAGGTTATTATCTTTTTTAGAAGTTGTATAAACAGACACCCTTGGGCAGAAAGCAAAATCAAACAAAAAAGCCTGTTTCAGACACAACAGTTTGATTCTCAGTCACCCTAGTAACCCAGTTTCCTCATCCCTTCACACTCATAACTTTCATTTCTCAGCGGGTAAGGCTTTGTCCACATGAGGTACTCTAGCTGTTGGAAGCTTGAAGTAACTAAAATAAGTTAAAAATACCTGATGAAAAATAAAAGGGGAGTATTGATTTTGGCTATAACTTATTAGGGAGGATAGCTGGAAAAAAAGAGTTGATTTTTAAATTCTTGTTTTCAGAATGTGTTTTCTAATTCTGCTACTATAGCACAGCAGAGAAATGAAAAAGAATTTTTTTTTTTGTTAACTGTGTCACCAACACTGCCCCTTCATTTGAAAAAGCAAACTTGCTATCAGTTTATAGCTCCTTCCAGAACTGAGCATAAAGTTCTCAAGCATCCCCAAAAAGCACTGAGCAAAGCCGAAGGTCCTGCCTTCAGAGCCAGTTCAGGACCAAGGGTGCCACTCCAGAAAGGCACTAAACTCTGGCAACGGATTAGTGCCCGTGTTCTGGCAGGAGCCCTGCAGATGGGCAAGCAGAGCCCAAGTCTTTACTTCCTGATCCTTCGTAAATTAGTTGCTAAATTTTTCATCAGTTAGGTCTGGGTAACATACTTTCAGGAAGGCATTTCTTGGACAGGATATGCCTAGGTAGATATGTGGTTAATAAATGGTTTGTTGAATACTTTCGAGCATGCACTTCTGCAGAGCAGACAGATTGTGTTGTAGCAGTCCTCTGGCCTTGCTGTATGTGATTGCAGTCATCTTAGTGTGAGGCTCAGGTCTTGCTAAGAAGCTGTGGGCATAAATGTATCTTACACAGCTTTGCCCGGGGCTACAGCAGGGGAGTAGGAAGCATGATTGGTCATCTCCAATCTTAGAGGGTAGTTCTACCCCACCGTGTAGCCGCTCTCACCAAAACTCACCAGAACTTCGAGGTCATCACAGCTGCTTCCTACTGTGGAGTCACACAGGGTGGGCACACAGGATCTGCACTGTGGATTGGTGGGTTTCTCCTGGAATTGGAAACACATTTTGATTTGATAGCGTACAGAAGATGATGCAACTTCCTGCAACAGATAAAAATTTGCCCTTGGCCACTGTTCTTACTGGCAGATCTTTGCTGAGGAGCAGTCAGCATCTTGCTGTCCTGGATGCCTTGCTGAGTGGTATACTTACAGTGGGGGAATATACAGGTGTTGGGAGCAAGCTTTTGGTTTAGGCTCCACCGTCAGACTCATTAAGCTGTTATTGGCCTAGGCAGAGTGGGTGGTATTTGCAGAAGCTGCGGTGTTCCGGATGATCAGACACCACTGTTTGTTTGTTTTTTTAAATATGTAATCTGAATCCAGAACCCCTGCCCTCATTCTGTCACTTTATAGGGTTTAAGCATAGAGCTGGTTGCTGTTCACCTAATGGATGCTCATTATTTGCTAAGGGAACTAATGTTATTGAATCGAATGGATTTGGGGTTATGAAGGAAATTGCTCCATTAAAGCAGCTGTCGAATTACATTTAAATGCAGTGGCTAAAAAATCGCAGGATTTGGAAGTTTTTTTTTTTTTTTTTTTTGAGGGGTAGAGGGTTTGTCACATACGTAACAGGTTTGTTTCACTGGAGTTGAGCTGCAGCTGAGGCCTGTTTGTCTTGTTCATCTTAGTCTGCTCACCAGTCTCTACTTGCTTGGTCTGAATATTTATATTCCCCCAAAATTCATGTGTTGAAAATCCTCACTTCCAAGGTGATAGTATTGACAGGTGGGGCCTTTGGAAGGTGATTAGGTCATGAGGCCTGAGCTCTGTTGAATTGGATAAATGCCCCTATAAGATGCCCAAGAGAGGAAGAGACCCATGTAAGATGGTGACGTTCTGTGAATCAGAGAAGTGGGCTCTCACCAGACCCTGAATGTGCTAGTGCCCTGATCTTGGACTTCCAGCCTCCAGAACTGTGAGAAATAAATTTCTTGGTTTATAAGCTACCCAGCTTGTGCTATTTTTGTTATAGCAGCTTGAACAGGCTAAGACACTGCATAATTTATTTGTATATTTCTGATGCTTTATGGATGAATCAAAAGACAACAGGTGTCTTTGAGTTAGCTACAAGCTGTCATTTTTGGTTTTCTTTTAGAGAGAGGGTTTCATTCTGTCACTCAGCTGGAGTACATTGATGCCATCACCGCTTACTTGCAGCCTCTCAAACTCCTCAGCTTAATCAGCAATCCTTCCACTTTGTCTTCCCAAGTAGCAGGGACTACAGGTGCGCACCAGCACACCCGGCTGATTTTTTTTTTTTTTTTTTAACAGACAGGGTTTCACTATGTTGCCCAGGCTAGTCTCAAACTCCTGGGCTCAAGCAATCCTCCTGTCTTGGCCTCCCAAAGTGTCAGGATTACAGGCATGAGCCACAGAGCCTGGCCTACAGGCTGTCTTTAAAAGGAACATTGACTAAGCAGAGCAAGCTTCTCTTTGGGAGCCAGATAATGAAAATTAAGAGATCATGGCCAGGCTGAGGATGAGGACACAATTATTGGCAAGCTTTTGTTAGTTTCACATTCAGTCTTGGCTCACATGCAGGTGTGCCTTCCTTTAAGAAAATGTGGAGAACAGGTTTTAAAAGTGAGGTGTGTATTTCACTTTCGAAGTGTTCTTTCGGGTGCCTCAGACTCAGCCTGTCTAAAAGGAATTCCTGTGTGGGGTTCTGATTCCACCTCTGAAATTGCTCAGGTCTCCACTGTCACTACAGGGCCAAGATCAGCCTCTCTTGCCTGGATCACAGTAGGGGCCTGAGTGATTCTTCTGAGTCCAGATCAAATCTTGTTACTTTTTTTTTTTTTTTTTTTTTTTTTTGAGACAGAGTTTCGCTCTGTCGCCCAGGCTGGAGTGCAGTGGCGCAAACTCGGCTCACTGCAACCTCTGCCTCCTGGGTTCATGCCATTCTCCTGCCTCAGCCTCCTGAGTAGCTGGGACTACAGACGCCCGCCATCACGCCCGGCTAATTTTTTTTTTTTTTTTTGGTATTTTTTAGTAGAGACGGGGTTTCACCGTGTTAGCCAGGATGGTCTCGATCTCCTGACCTTGTGATCCGCCCACCTTGGCCTCCCAAAGTGCTGGGATTACAGGTGTGAGCCACCGCGCCCGGCCAAATCTTGTTACTTCTTTAGGTTGATGTTCAGGCCCCTGAGTCCCACCATAGAGGCTGCTGTCACCTGGCCTCTACCAGTTCACTATCCCCACCTTGTGCCTTTTCCTCTGGATTGTTTGTGTTTGGGGGCTGCCATCCAGGCCTGCAGGCCTGTGTGTGTGGGGTATTGATGCCACGTTTTAATTTTGGCTGTATTCATCGGTGCATTGTTAGGTTAAGTGCCCTTTTGGGAAGTGAAATTGATACTGTTACCCATTCACAGATGTTGGGGTTTCTGGGATGCTCATAGAACCCTCTTCCTGCCCAAGCTTTGAAAAAGTTAAAAACCGTAAGGAAAGTGAAAGTAGAGGCCCACATAATCATTTATTATTGATAGAGGCAAGGTTGGAGGCCACAGCTTGTTGTGAAAACCAAATGGTCCTGCCAGCAGAGTCTCAGGATTAGGCCATTTAACTTACTGGGCCCAGGTGGCATGTTGCCTGCACGGTGGCCTGGTCCTTGAGCAGGAGGAGGCCGGGAATGAACCATTTTCTAATCAGATAAGTCCCTGCACTTCTCAGGAGTGGAAGAGTCCCAGAGTTAACTCATCGATCCCCTCACAGGCGAAGCGGGGAAGAAGCACTTCTCACTAACAGGCTTCTCAAAAACTCTTCTTCCCTGTAGTGATTGTTTCAATATTAATAAGAAGAAGCTGTTCTTTCTACAAATAGGTTAACTACTGGAAATTTAATAGAGTATTTATTTAATTCAAGGAGCTAAACATCTTACCCTTCCTTCATATGAACATTGATATTTAGAATATATTTATTGACAAAATGATAAAACAAGAAATATTTAACAGTTTATTTTTCTGTAAGCAATTCTAAATGTCTTATAATAGCATGAATAAATTCAGCAACCAAAGAATTATGTTAGGGTCCTTCCTTGTTGGTGATTTGGGGCCCAGTTCTGCTTTGATGGAGCTCTCCTGTGAAGTTAGTTTCAGCAGACGATGCCTCAGTGGCAGTGTGTGTTTGAAATTCGTTTCACATGTGGGAAACACATAGGGCAGTTTTCTTATAGCATGTGAGTGTTGGGGAGGCTTTTCTAGTGTGATGTTCTGTATGTTTTGTGTTGTTTCATGAGGGAAAATGGATTTGAGAGAGTGAGCGGTGAGCTAAGAGCATGCAGTATATTCAGGGTAAGCCTGAATTGGGCATCAGCAGAACCACTTCAAGACTAGCCCTTTGACTTTCCGGAATCCTGGTTAGTTTTAAGCTAGAACCTTCTTTTCTTTCTCCTCTTCTTTGTGTCTAGCCTCCACCCTCACCCCCATCTTCAGCTTAAAACCTCTTACAAATAGCATCCCAAAGGCATCATTCATGAGGCTGAACAGTTTTGAAAAGAGCAAGGGAAGTTACTCACTTTTTTCCCAGTGAGCTCTATGGGCAGTGGAACTCTAAGGTAATTGTCAACCATTGTGGAAAGCAATATTTTCATTTGGTTAACATATTTGGACCCATTCGATCCTCGGTACTAGCATTAGAAAGATGATTTCCATCTATTCCTAATGAAAATAGGTTTTATTTCTTTGAAACATTTAAAGGAACAAAAGCTTAAATTCCAAATATTCCTAAAACCCTAAAAAGGGTTTCATTTTCGAATGAGCATTGGAAGAAAATGGTCATTTGTAGCACAGACTCTACCTAAACATAGTCCACCATTCCCTCCCTATTGAAAGTTAGACAGTTCATATGAAAGTCAGGAATCTGAAATCCTCTTTGGTTGGGGGAGCACAAAAGATGACTTTTGCAGACCCAGAGCAGAGTTTGAGTCGGGTGGAATGAGATTAGTGTGCTGGGGGGAACGTCCGGACCCCTGGCCTTCTCTCCTTTGTGAGGAATGTGACAGCTGAAAGGAGTCAGAAGCCGCCCGGTGCAGCAGTGACAGCCCAGCAGTGACAGCCCAGCACAAAGGGTGGTGTGCTTTCCGACCTCTGGCCGCCCTTTGCTAGACCTTCAATTGTAGTTTGGGGCCCAGACTTTGCATTTTTCTCTTTTATGGCTTAATTTAATTTTATTTCAACCAGTTTATTAGAGTGAAGGCCTTCTTTGTTGCCCCGAGGCTTTGTGCCCATTGGACTGGAAATTAGATGAGCTGGGGGTAAGTATTCTTTGTATGCATGAGAGAGTTGGTGACTGGGAAGACACTGAGGGCCAGACCTCACTAGCCAGTGGACCAATGATTTCAACCTAGCAACATCACTTATTACTAAGGGAAGGGGCAGTTGAAAAGTGGTAAGCAAGGTAAGTCATCACTAGCAGCTAGCCACGGTTGTGTAGCTGTTCCTGTTCCTCCGAATGGGCACCTTGGCTGTGTTTCTTTTGTGCCCTCTCAAACTTGGCTCCATATTGGAATCACTGGGAGCATTGACAACAACAACAAAAACAGATGCCTGGGCCCCTGCAGAGCTTCTGGTTTAATTGGAATGGGTGCAGCCTGGGTGTGGGCGCTGCAGATCTTCAGGTGATGGTACAGTGTAGCCGCAGTGGAACACCACTGGCCTGCCTGAGACCTGAGGTGCTTGGGCATTACCTGCAGGCTTTATAAAAAAGTTAAATGGTGTTAGAATATTTCAGGGGAGGTTCTGATTAGATCTAAGAATAAGCATATGAAATTTAGAGACTAGGACTTTTTAGGGTTGTTGAACTGGAAAAACTTTGGTGGGAACAAGGGAGCTTATTGATTTTTAAAAAAAAAACTTAAAAAGAATAGCTAGAAAGAGGCTGGGTAAAGGGGCATTGAAATTGACTCCCTTAAGCACTGGTCCCAAGATATTTGTTTTTCCCAGAAGGAGAGTGAGGATGGAAACTAAAGAAATAAAAACTGTCTGGCCATAGCTACTCCAGACAGAGCGATGGCTGTGGGTGATGATGAGCATAAAATGAGGTGAGGGCAGGAGTCCCCGCCCTGGCTCCGCTCGGTGTTCACTCACGTCTCTCCTGTGTGCTCATCTTTGACACCAGCTCCTCTGACTCAACTTTTCCCCTTGTTTTTACTCTCTCCTTAGCACCAGCTGTTGATTTTTATTCCTTGCTTTTTCCCCACAGCCAGCTCTGCCCGTAGCAGCTCTACCACTGTCTCCTTTCCCCTCTGGTGGCAACGCTCTCCTTTGTTCATGTTTTACCTTCACTTCTTATGTTATCAGTTCCATGGAATCAGTAGGAGTCACACTCTACAAGCCTGTTCTAGTCCGACTGGGCAGATAGAGTGAGGTCATCTCACTCTATCTGGAGAGGAGACTGGAGGGGAGTGCTGAGGATGCTGCCAGGGTGGGGTTTTGAGATTTAATAGGGGGCTAAGGTCAGGCTTGTCGGAGACAGGTTAGAGATTACTAGAGGGTCAGAGGTCCCACCGCTTGGGCAGGAGGGCAGGAGCCAGCTGAGCAGGGCTGACTGAGGGGCCTGAGCTTGCCCTTGTGGCTTTGAGGCTGGGCCATTTAGACTGTGCCTGCCCAAGCAGGGTCTGCCCTGGATGTCCACGGAGTATAAAGAGGCCCCTTAGGTGAGGGCGGTACAACCATTTGCTGAAAGGTGACTTTTCTAAAGACCTGTTCCTACTTTGAATATTGCTTATTTGACACGATTTAAGTGGGATGTTTTAATTTTTATTTATTTATTTTTGTGTGTGCGTGTGTGTTACTGAGAATTTGTATCTTTTCATTTAATTTCAACAACTTGTTGGAAAATGCTGGCCACTCTGACTTCTAAGATACTTAGTGACATTTTATAGATAGTTTGGATTGTTTCTATGTAATCATTTGAACAAAACCATAACAAATCGTTTTATGAAAAGCACCCTGGAGATGGTAAATTCTGAAACCAAACTAAAATTGGTTTCAGAATTCTTATTCTGCGAGCTACATTTAAAAAAATGTAATGTCTCCAGATTAGGCCTTAAAATGAAGCGCCCCCATTAATATCCTGCTTATGTTCAGGAACATCTAGAAAAAGGTGTCAGTGCAGAAGCTGAAAGCACACAGCCCGTGCGTGCTGAGCGGGTTCCTCACCCCAGCCTTTCTCCCAGGCTGCAGAAAGGACTCAGGAAATGTGGCCCATCATTATTACTTATGCTTGTTAAACAGGAATTGACCAGATACCTCATTTTAACATTTTAAAGATATCTCTATGAGAGAGTTGAATATTTGACTTAGGACTTTTAGAAAAATATATATTATTGTTTTTCTTAAATGTGATGTTTTGTGTTTGTTGTAAATACGTGATACAATATGTAATAATTTATGCAGCCCTTGAACACGCTGTCTTCAGAGTCGTTTTGCAGCTGCTGTCTGAGTTTCCTAAGTCATTTGGATTTACTTGGGTGTGTTCAGCCCAGATAAAAATGTGGATCTACCTGAATGTGTCCAGCACCTGCACCACTATTAAAACCGAGAATTTCCTGAGGTCAGGAATTACAGGGAACTGATTCTCTTCATTACTTGGGACTAATTTCCCCTTCTTCCATTTTTCCAGTCGTACAGCAGAAGACTATGAAATAGAGGATTTAAGGAGAGAAGAAAAGGGCATTTTCACCTTTTTTTTTTTTTCCTGTGAACATTCGGAGAGGATAAACTGAAGCTTGAAATATTAGTGCTCATTTTAATTTTATATTAAATTAGTTTTATTACAAGTTTTCTAAGGTTCTTTATGGAAAGGTTAAAAAAGATTTGTTGTTGTTGTTGTTTAGTTCTAGAAAACCTGGCAGTTTACAAAGTTTTGGGGTAACAGTAAACTTTCCTTCCTTTGATTCACTAAGTTTTTCTTAGTCTTTCAATACCTGAGGGCCAGGAGTGTATAGACTACATGATAAATCAGTTTTTTATTTTATTTTCACATATAAACCAGAGTTAATTTGATTTAAGATCAACAGACTTGATTTATAAAAGAATACTTGTATTTTTAGATCTGAACATTTTAGGTGGCTACAATTTTACCCCAAATTAAGAACCTTTGCAAACCAAGTGGCAGGTGGTCTCATTCAGCTATACCAGTTGAGATGTGTTTACCTCTGGAGATGGAGTGAAAGAAATTGTATCTGGCAGATAGCGGAGGAAAATTGTCTTCATGGCTAATTATTCAGTGACTTCTATCTATGCAGCTTCCCATTTTAATTCTGACGGTAAGTGTCTGCAAATGTCTGTGCTAAATATTCCTCTTGCTTTCAGACAGCCTCTAAGTAAGTGTGTGTGTGTAAGAATTGATAACTTTATATTTTTTTCCTCTCTTTTCTCTGGTAGTTTATTTTTAGTAGTAAAATAGTGGCAATGGATAATTCAGTCACGTTTTCCTTCTTTTTCTTATTCTGGTAGCCCCTTCCTAAGAGTGATTAGTGGGAAAAAAAGGGACATAAGGGCTCAGTCCCACTAGAAGCACCCATAGAAGTGGCCCTTTATGATGGCAGGCGGCACTTACAGGCTTAGGCTGTTGCCATTTCAACTGTGTTCTTATTTTTTTAAGCAAGAGTCTCAGCCAGTTCTAGTAAATTAAAAATTAGAACATAAGAAGTGAGGAACAAGAGTTCCTCTTGGGCTGGGATAAACTGGATTTTGAAGTAGAGCAACCTCCGTTCACTGACTCCTTGGTCAGGAGTTTATTGGTACAAGGGCTCGGAAGCATTTTCCTCTCTCCTTGTCATAAGGTACCGCATCTTTTTGATTTTCTTAGACTCTGCCCTAACATGGCCTCACTAAGGAGACTAGAAAACTGAGAGAAAACCTTGCCAGTCAGTAAACTGCATCACAAGGCCTGAAGAGAGAGCTTAAAGGCAACACACAACAAAAGGCAGAGGTGCCAGATGGCTATGCCATTCTGGGTTAAAGGTTAAACCTCATCCTCCCTGGAGACCAGCCAGAGGCAGCCACATTCCTGGCCCTGGTGGGGGCTCCTGGCCCAAGGGCTCCACTGCCCATCCTCGGCAGACCCAGGGAGGAGCTGGGTTTGGTGTAGAACAGGTAATGGGCAGCACAGTACTCATGAGTAGCAAACCTTACAGGACTGATCCCGTCATGACCAATATGGAAATGTCAGTACTCGAGTACCTGTGTGTGTTGATCTTCTCTCTGAAATATAAACAGCTAAATTATTTTCCAATTTGGTCAAGGAAATAGGGAATCACATGTGAACTATTTTTGTAATAGGCCGAGTTACTAATTTTTGTTTAACTAACTCTTTCCATTTAAATGCTTTTTGGCTGTTTTGTCATTGTTCCTATGTGGGCTGCTATTTTCAGATAGGGTGCTGGAGGTCAGTAAGGCCAAGAGAGACGGTGAGCACTCATCACTGCTCCCCTGTGTTGGCTGCACTCCGGAAAATGGGCACACACCTTGAAATCAGCCGTGTTCTGATTTACCCGGCTTTCCGTTAACCAGCCCTTTAACTTGACCAAGGTTTATTCCCTTTTGTTTGCTGTAAACTATGTTGAGGAAACTCTTACAAAGCACAGTCCTTCCTGTTTGTATTGTCTGCATTTTAGGTTGATGGGGTGGGTTTCATTTCTCTCTTAGAGTCACTTCTCTAATCCAGTTTCTTTTGTCTAATGCATGGTAAAGAATTCACTGTTCGATATGACTGACTTTGGTCTGCAGTTAGTTGGAAGATCTCATATTCTTTCACTGCAGGACAATTTTTTTTTTCCTTTTTTTGTTTTTTTATGGTGGTAGAGATATTGGGAGGAATGCAGGGATGGAACTAATTTGTGTGTGGCTGGTTGCATGGGCGAGGCCCAATGCCATGTGCTTCTCTAAGCCATGTTCCCGTTCAGGAAGTAGGTAGGGCCCGAGAGCTAGGGTCTGAATCAGCATGTGACATCAGGTCCACTGTGTTTCTCCTCCATACCCTCTGCTTTCCAGAAAACAGTGTGTATGAACTCCAGCTCACTTTCTTCCAGCAGTCTTGTTAAAATGCTGGTGCTATCACTGAGTTAAATTTCTTATTTCTCCTTCAACTTTATTAAGTTTGGTTTAATTTATTTACTTTCTTCAGACTCAAGTTGTATACAAAAATAAATGGAGCTTTATTGAATCTCACTGCGCAATTGGTGACACACACCTTTTAGAGAAATAAAGTCAAGAGTCATTTTTATGGGGCATCTTGAGATAAACTCTTGAGGGGTTTTGTGTAGCCTGCGTGGGAGGGCCCTGGAGGTGGAGGTGAGAGACTGTGGGAATTGGGGAGGTGAGGACTGTCTGTTCCATGATGTGCTCCAGCAAGGTGTCTGGGGACTTGACTTCCCTTGTGGGGAAGAGGATAGGAGAGATGGAATTCCCGGATTGCGTTGCTGGATTGCAGGCACACTCCAGTGGGCTCTGGAAGCCCTCAGAGGAACCCTTGACTTGAGATAGAGCGATGACTTCCTGTTCTGTGATTCGTCCTCCTTGGCTGGATGGTTTCTGAACTGCTGCAGGAAGTGTCTGTTTAGTTGTGCAAGTATTGTTTCAGGAATTAGAAGTTGTGTTTCCTTTCCTGAAACGCATATGCCTTACTATAGATAAGGAGATTCTTTTTTCTTTTTTATAGTTCTTATACCTCAAGCATGCCATTTTTCTAAACAGGAGCCTATATGTGAATGCACTTATCAGTTTTCCCCTGGGTTCAGTAAAATGGATTTGTCTTAGATTCCTGTAGTAAAGTTGTTGACAGAGAGTTGAGGGAAGATCAGCTGAAAAGCATCCAAGTGTGGAATCCACTGGAGAACAGTGCTTTGCCCATTTAAGTGTCTGACAACTGAGTTATTTGTAAGTTATGCCAAGGATATTTTTAGAACTCAGTATCTTATCCTTAGGTTACCAATTATTTTGATTCCCCAACAGACTCCAAAGGGTACAAGAGAAGTGAGATTGGAAAAAAGAATTTCTGCGAAGAGAAGCTCAACTGAATCTTAACTATGGTAATTAATTGGCAGAAAATCAATAATTCAGTGAGAAGCCTCTCAGCCAATGGTGGCAAAAGACAATGTAGTGAATGTTAGTGGATTTGGGAGAGTATACAAGTACCAGTGAGCTAACTGGGTGAATTTACATACTGTGTTACCGTAGTGTTACACAAGACTAGTCATTTGGGAAATTGATGGAAGATTAATGGAGATCCAAATGTTTAAATAGTTTAATCATTGTCTGACCCTAAAGAGAAACCTCAGTGAATACGTATTTGGCTTAATGAATTGAAATGAAACTGCGTTTTGTCACCCGATGGTGAGGAAATTTTAGCTCACCTGCTTTATGTCTCAAATTCTTTTCCATAAACGTGCCCCTGTGTTTCCTTGAGGGAACTGCCACCTAAATGTTTCTTTCAGATAGTGCTTCTCAATTATTTTAGTCTCATGCCTTTTTTTTACACTCTGGAAAATAATTGAGGACTCCAAAGAGTTTTTGTTTATGTGAGTTCTATCAATCACATAATCTACCATATCAGAAATAAAAAAGGGATTTTAGAAATCATTATTGAATTTAAAATAACAATATAACCACCTGTATGTTAACATAAATAATACTTTCGTGAAAAATAACTATTTTCCAAAACTAAGACACTTATTGAGAAGTATGCTTCGTTATTTTTTGCGAATATCTTTAATATCTGGCTTATTAGAAGACAGCTGTTTTCTTGCCTTGCATCTGCATTCAATCTGTTGTGATATGTAGCTGTGGTTGCCATCCAACCAAAGAAAACCTAGCCTCACACAGGTTTGTAGTTGGAAAAGGGAGTGCTTGAATTTCCTTTCAGATAATAGTGGATCTTCTTTGATATAACACTAGAGAAGTGGTATCTCAAAGTTTGGTCGAGATGTATGTAGATCCTGAAACCCTATCTATGAACTTTAAAAACTCTGTTTTAGGTATTATTTTGAATATCATGCATTGGCCACTTAGAAAAATCTCCCAAATGTTTATATATTTCACTTGTAATATCAAAAATTCTTGTCATGAATCAGAAAATTCTTAAGTGTAGGGAAATTGTCAAGATCACAGTGGTTATTCAAGTTTTAAGAAAGTCTAAAATTTTCATAAAAGCTTAATCTTACTGTTTTCCTCGAAAATGGGCCTGTTTTGTTTCTTTTCTTTAAAATGCCTGCCAGATAGCCTTGTCGGAATAACCATTGTTTATATATCGCTCTGTCAAGTACAAGGTTGGGTTCAATGAAGAAAAGTGGCTCATCACCTCATAGGTCCACCCCACAGGTGCTGACCCTTGCGACAGCCACCAGTATATGCTGCAACAGGGCTTTCCCTTCCTTCACACAGAGTCATAGTGTGTGTGTGCTCAAGAGTCAAGGCGTAATAAAATCAGTTTTTTACTTCTCCATTGTATTAGTCCGTTTTCCTGCTGCTGATAAAGACATACCCGAGACTGGGCAGTTTACAAAAGAAAGAGGTTTAATGGACCCACAGTACCACATGGCTGGGGAGGCCTCACAATCATGGTGGAAGGTGAAAGGCACGTCTCACATGGCGGCAGATAAGAGAAGAGTGAGAGCCAAGTGGAAGGGATTTCCCCTTCTAAAACCATCAGATCTTGTGAGACTTATTCACTGCCACAAGAACAGTATGGGGGAAACCGCCACCATGGTTTAGTTATCTCGCACTGGGTCCCTCCCACAACACGAGGGAATTATGGGAGCTACAGTTCGAGATGAGATTTGGGTGGGGACACAGCCAAATCATATCATCCATCAAGGACAATAAGTGAGGTGACTGATCTCTTCATTTATTTTAACTGCAGTTATGTGGTAAGATGACAGCTAGTAAGTACAGTGTGGGGCCACTGCCTTGCTGTGTAGTAAGGTACACACATTTTTACATGCTGTTGCTCTTGTACTGTTGATGCTGTACAAAAAGGCAAATAACAGCTTTAGAATTCTAGTTTGACCTCACAGATCCAGTTGAAGAGCCTTGGGGATCCTAAGGGGCCCGTGGTTCATACTTTTTGAGAACCACGACTTTAAGACATACAGGAAAGGTGCTAAATGAGACAGAACTAGACTTGACTCGTTATGAACTTAGTATTACAGAAATGGGTCAGATACCTCATACGTGTGGTGATAGACGTGTGGGGCCATGTGGGAGGGATGTGTAAGAGAGTTCCTGGAGTGTGGCACTTTGACTGGGGCTGTTGACTCCTGTGTCCTGAACATCTAAATCTGTACCTGGTGTATCAGTTCATACTTTATGTAGCAGTTTGAATAATTAGGGCAAGTGTAATGGCTGCATAAATTCATTAGTTTTTAAAAAGTCAAATGGGTTTTGTGTTCATAATAAAGATTAGTCAAGGTAATCTTTTTGTAGTATAAAAGTAATAAAGTTGTGAAATATAGCTGCACAGCCCCTCCCATCCCACCTTCCTGTGATACCGTCATCCTCAGTCTCCCTACCCTTGTATGTCTGTTTCCTATTACCATCAAGGCCCATGACACCAGCTGTGTAGACATACTCCAAAAATAATAGACGCAGTCTTTATCATTATTCACTTAAAAAGCCAACCAGTGTTCTTTCCCCTGATTGGGAATGTGCCCAGTATGAAGGGACAGCATCACATTGGTTATGTAATTGATGCTGTTTGTGACAAAGACTCCTGTTTCACTCCTGTTTTCCCAGCAGTTTCGCATTGTAACTAGGTAGTGATGATGTTTGCTTGTTTTCTGTGTATGAAGAATCACAAGTGTGTTTTTCTTGGGTGGCTCTAGAAGAGAAAGCTTTCATGCCTAGAAGAATATCTTGTTATTTCTATAGAAGCTTTTTAAAAATTCTTCATTAAAAGAAATTTTAAGTCATTTAGAGTAGCTGTTTTTGTGTGAGTTGATATTTTGACCCATTTTATTTTTCTCTTCAGTTTTCTGATTTGTGTGATTACGTGACGAGCTCTTCCTGTGAATCTCGAACACTCAGGTTGGAGTCGTTCGGTCTTTGGAGCCTTTTGGGAGGAAGCCAGGTGCTCTTCAATTGCCCTTTGCAGTAGGACTCCCTGGTAATAACTGTGGCGATGATGAACTTGTCTAGATAAAATGACATCTGATAAAATATTAATAAATACATTGTAGTGGACACCTGCTTCTGAGGATGTGGATGTGTGAAACCTAGACATTCAATTTATGAATGTCTTTTTAATTGACTCCTCTGGACACAGAGAGAGGACCCACATGATCACTGAGAAAATATCAGAGTACAGGTGGCAGAACTGTGGCAGAATCCCCTGTGCAAACTGTATCGCTGTGCGGAGACAGAGCTAACAAACAGGGTCTCAAGGAGAAACCGAGTCTTGTGCTTTGCTTTCATGAGGGATTTTTCTGAGTTAGCTGATGAAGCCAAGCTAAGTAAATATTATCTTCTTTTTGTGTTGGCCTTTTGTTTTGAAATATTCCAACTCTATTTCCTTCATAGTTTTCTCTTTATTGCTGTTATTATTTTTACAGATTAGAGGTACCACCTTTTCCAGTCTTGCTCATCATGGTTTTTCCTACTTCAAGCTGTGAACTATTTAATTCAGTTCAGCAAGCATTTTTGGAGTGTTTGCAAGTCAGTAGCTGTGTTATTACCAAACCTGCCATCTTGACTTTCTGCTGTTGCTATAAGCCCTTTGATTTGCATGTTCAGTATCAGCACTCTTAGCAGCTTCTTCTCTGTGTTTGCCTCCCTTGGTAGGTTTTTAGATTAAGGGAACCTTGTTATGGAGAATGAGGCTTCCAGGATTGGCCTTCTTCCTCCTTTGTTCTCTTTGTATGGTTTCATTGTTCTACTTTACCCTTTTACATGTGCACAGAGCTTCCAGTATCAAGCTGTTCCTTGGAGTAGGAAGTAGTTTTGGAGATGAGAAACACAGAGAGAGGAGGAGAGAGAATATTAGAGAAGAAAATTATTCTCTTTGGATCAGTTTCCATTAGGCATTAACCATTGGCCTGTCCCTTTCCCCACTGCCCCTTAGACACTGTAGGTCTTCATCTGTGCTTATATAATGAGGTCTGAATTGTTCTGTGGTGATCCTATGACCATTTCCATATATGAGATTGTAAATATCTTCTTTTACTGTGGGGAGAAAGGCACTTAGCTAGAAAATAAGAGTAAGCCTCCAGAAGAGTATATTCTGCTATGTTTATAGAACTGTCATCTTTGGTTCTAATACATTGCTGCTGAGAAAATTGATAGAAGTTGTGTTTACTTGAATACAGCAAATTACCCAAATGGATAGGTAAAGATTATTCACTTTTATTACATTTCAAATGGTTTCATTGTATTTCCCCAAATTGTACATTTATTACAGAAGTTAGCTTTGTGTTTCTACTTTTAGGTGTATAAAAATCAAGATCTCTACCCCAATTGAGGAGATATATAATGGTTTAAATCTGAACACTGTGAAGTAATGGGGGCTTAAATGAAATATCCCCTTACTACTTAGTGAATGTTTGATGTAAATCAGCCACAATACTTCCTCTCTCCCCCATATATGGATGGCAACATAGTTATATAACCTTCTAATGATGGATTTATTTATTCTCTTCCAGAAGTGCTCAAGCCTATTGCAGACAAATTTCTACAAATTTATTTTTCCTTTTTAATTTTTCTTCTGTCTGGTTGACCTAACTCTTCACAGGTTTCCATCTAGCGTTTTGTATAAGTAGTCATTTAAGTATGATTTAAGAAGTTCATCTGAGAATGGATACTTTCCCTTTGTAGGGGCCAAGGGAAAACTTCCCTGTCACCCTCTGAAAGGTTCACTGAAAATCATTGACAAGAGGTAGATTAATGAGAGGAAAGGCATACAAATTTGTTTGATCACATTTTTATATCACATGAGAGCCTTCAGAATGAAGACCCAAAGATACAGGATAAACTGTCCATTTTTATGCTTAGGTTCAACAAAGTATGGTCAGCTGTGCAGAAATATGATTGGACTAGGCCAAGATGGGCAGATCACACGGTCTCTATCGAGACCATCCTGGCCAACATGCTGAAAGCCCGTCTCTACTAAAAATGCAAAAATTCGCTGGGCGTGGTGGCATGCACCTGTAGTCTCATCTACTCGGGAGGCTGAGGCAGGAGAATCGCTTGAACCTGGGAGGCGGAGGTTGCAGTGAGCAGAGATCGCACCACTATACTCCAGCCTGCTGATAGAGTGAGACTCCGTCTAAAAAAAAAAAGATTGGACTAAAAGGATATGATTGATTTCTAACCGACTGAATGGGGAAGCCCAGCAAGGCCTGTCTGTCTAGAATTCTTCTTGGCCTCTCTGAGTATGTTCTCCTTCCTTCTGGGTATGGTGCAGGACTCTCTTTGGAATGGGCATCTTATGATCTACAATCAAACATGGTAGTTCAGATAATTTCTTTATGGCCAGTTTTTATACAGAGAGCGGGGAAGAGTTAATACGTTTAGGTTTTATAGCTAGCTTTGGGCAAAAGGGATTCTAGTTTCTATGACCTGTCTTTGGGAAGAGGGATTCTAGTTTCTATGGCTTGCTTCGAAGGAGAATGAGAGACCAGAGACAGGAGGGCAGAGAGAGCTCCTTCTGAGGCCTTTGTTACATCATTTTCTGAGCCCCAGCATCTTTCAGTGTCAGAAACAGAGATAGTACTATTAGCAGAGTTATCAGTTTGAGACATAATTACCTTTCATGGACACCTGTAGTTGTTTGAGTGAATTTAGACTTCCTTAGTTTATTACAGTTGCTTTTAGTAGCTGTCCTTAAAATAGAGAATATTCTTGAATTTAACACATACAGTTTATTCTCTCCTCTCTTTATTGATTTAATGAGTACTATTTCAGGTTTATAATAGAATTCCCCAGTCTTGAAATGTTTATGGCATTGAAACATCATTAAGTTAGAGCTTTATTCAGCCTACACAGAGAATGGAGGACACTATGGTTTTCACTGTGCTCCATTTGACCATGGATGGTCTTCAGGCTGTATCACTATTCAACTCTTAAGATAACTAATATAAGCTACAACTTTAATGAGTGATATTTTCTCATTTTTAGTGTTTTGCTTGTCTACAAGCAGATGGTAAAAGCAAACTAGTAAATGATGGAAAAACCTGTATCAGCTATATATGCTAAATTTTATGTCCTGTTTTTTTCCTGGATAGTCGTGCTTGTGATGATGCCTATTACTTCCTAACTTATATCTTTTCTGCTAATAAAATTGTCCCTGCTTCCCATACTAAAATGATATCATTATTTGTAATGTTTTACAAATTGGGTGGAAGAGGTGTGTGTTCACCAAGCAGCATCATGACTTTTCACTGCTCCACCCTTTACCCAGGCAAGTTGGAAGAACAACTATTTGAGTGTGAGAACAAGAGCACCAGGACAAGAAGCTGGAAAAATAAATAGGAGATATTGCTAGTGGCCTGGTTGCCTTGACTAGAAATTTGCGCTTTGTGTTCATTGTGGAGTAGTTAAAGCTTTTTAGCTTGAATTTAGCAGGGATGTATTGGTTTCCAACGAGTCTTCCTTATATATCTTGTTTGTGGGAATTACTGAAAGAGCCACAGAATTTTCAACACCACATGGAGGCTATCCCAATAATCACAATAACTTAATTATTTATTCTTAAAAGCTCAGAGAAGAATTAATGTAAAAAATTATGGGAACCCTTATACACTGTTGGGGGGAATGCAGATTAGTTCACCCAGTGTGGAAAGCAGTTTGGAGATTTCTCAAAGACCTTAGAACTACCATTCGACCCAGCAATTCCATTACTGGGTATATAACCAAAGGAAAATAGATCATATACCAAAAAGACACATGCACTCTTATGTGTATCACTGTGCTGTTCACAACAGCAAAGACATGGGATCAACCTAGGTGCCCATCAGTGGTGGATTAAATAAAGAAAATGTGGTATATATACACTATGGAATACTGTGTAGTCATGAAAAGAATGAAATCACGTCGTTCATACCAACATGGATGGAGTTGGAAACCATAATCCTAAGCAAACCAATGCAGGTATAGAAAACTAAATATTACATGTTCTCATTAATAAGTGGGATCTAAATATTGAGCACCTATGGATGTAAACATGGGAATAAGATACTGCAGACTAGTAGAGGGAGGAAGGGAGGGAGGGAAGGAAGGAGAGGATGGGGTAAAACACTATCTCTTGGGTACTGTGCTCACTGCCGGGGTGCAATATACCCATGTAACAAACCTGCACATGTACCCCCTGTATCTAAAATAAAAGTTGAAAAAAAAATTATGGAAAAAGCATAGACAGTGAATGAAATTAATCATGACATCATCATCAACAAATGTTTCTTGAATGCAACAAGCTTGCCTGCTTATTCATTTCACCAACCATTTATTATTATGCATAAGGCTTCTGCCCATTAAGAATTCACAGTTGAAGGTTGCAGACATATCTATCAAGAAGTTACATAAGAGACTGAAAAATGTTCCAGCAAAAGGTACAAGTAGTATTCTAAGTGAGTAGTAGAGAGGAAGAGACACTTTTCTATCTAGGAAGTTTTTCTTTAACAGTTTTTCTCTTGGAAATGTCTGAGAAAGTTTTGTGGGGAATATGGGGCTTTTAGGCGCAAAGGATGCTGTTTATTTTGGGTAAGGGGACGTCTTGATAGAAGGGACAGAGGCAGGAACCTTTAGGGCATATTCATCTGGGAAAGGTCATTTAATGTGTATTCTGACTGTCAGGTAGGGAAGTTGAGTTACGAAGGTACTTGGGCCATATTAAGGAATTATTTGAAGGTTATTTTGAGATTTAAGTTACACATAGTATAGTTTTGAACAGATGTGTCTGTGTGAGCTGTTGGTTATCAGTCAAAGAAACTCAAAGTAACTTAAGCAAAAAAAGAAAGGCATAGCTCAAGTAACTGGGATGTTTAGGGGTGGCATACTACAGGCATTGTTGGATTCAGGGGCTCAAACATTGTCAGAAGGCCTCTTTTTTCCTCTCTCTCTCTGTCCTTGCTCTGCCTTCCCTACGTTGAGCTCTGCATAACAGCCCTTTCTCTGTGATCTATGAGACAGTGGCCAGCGGCTGCAGCCCACACCCTCCTAGCTTAGTTCCTTTGGCAGAACTGAACTTCTTAAGATCCCGACATCATCCCAGAGAAAACCGTATATGACCTTGCCATGGCCTGCACATATCCTTGAACTAGTCACCGAGCTAAGGGAATGGTGTGCCCAGAGCAGCTCAGGGGACAGCATGACATCAAGGGCAGGGATGGTTCCTTACAAGAACCAGAACGGAATGTGGGAAAGGGACACGAGGAGGACAGAAACTTTAGGTGCCATGGTTGCAGCACAAGAGGGAGGGTAAGAGAAGACTGGAGCTGTTAGCCCAGGTCAGGAACATGGGTGGAGGAGGAGATTTGTCAGGAAGGATGCAGACTCCATCTTCTGCATGTTGAGTTATAGGTGCTATGGGCCATTCATGTGGCAGTTGGCTGTGAGGGCACAAAGGAGAGGGATAAAGTTAGTGTTGTAGCAGAATAAAGGATTGATGGTAAAGAGAGTGAAGGGAACCAAAGTATTTTATCCTGAAATATACTTTGACATATTTCAAGATGGCTATTCACTGGGCTTGAAATGCAAGAACAGCTGAAAAGCTGTCTTTTGTAGGGGAGATTTGCATCTGTAGGGAATCTGCATTAATACAGCCAGGCTTTCTCTAAGGCCCTCCTTTGTCCTCATCTAGGCAAGATTAACTGAGAGTCTGACACCTATAAAGGTCTGAAAAAAAATTTACCATCCATTCTGTCTGAGGGCTGCTACCCATGTGAGGTTTCATCTGCATCATGAGGCAACCTTTGCTAGCCAGGACTCCTCCCCTTCCCATAACCTGTCCTGTCATCATAACTTGAGGTACCATCATAACCTGTTTTTGGCCATGCTCCTGTCAGGCATTTTAACCAGAGTGATTCCATCTTGAACAGGGGCTGAGTAAAATGAGGCTGACACCTACTGGGCTGCTTTCCCAGGAGGTTAGACATTCTTAGTCACAGGATGAGACAGGAGGTCAGCGCAAGATATAGGTCACAAAGACCGTGCTGATAAAACAGGTTGAGGTAAAGAAGCTGCCAAAACTCACCAAAACCAAGATGGTGACAAAAGTGACCTCTGGTCATCCTCATTGCTCATTATATGCTAATTATAATGCATCAGCATGCTAAAAGACACTCCCACCAGTGCCATGACAGTTTACAAATGCCATGGCAACACCAGGAAGTTACTATTTAGTCTAAAAAGGGGAGGAACTGTGACTTCTTGGATTGCTTGCCCCTTTCCTGGAAAACTCATGAATAATCTACCCCTTATTTAGCATGTAATCAAGAAATAACTATAAGTATACTCAGTTGAGCAGCCCATGCTCCTGCTCTGCCTGTGGAGTAGCCATTTTTTAATTCTTTACTTCCTTAATAAACTTGCTTTCACTTTACGAATTCACCTCAAATTCTTTCTTGTGTGAGACCCAAGAACCCTCTCCTGGGGTCTGGATCGGGATCCCTTTTCAGTAACACTCCAAGCCCCCATTCTTTCTGTAACCTCAGAAAAAGCTTCACCCATCTGGCCATTTCTTTAAGTTCTTTTGTTTTGTGAGACTTCTGTTCATATTAATATATTTGCTTTTTCTCCTATTAATCTGCCTTTAGTTGATTTTTCATCGAGCTTGGAGAGTGAAGAGGAAGTTTTCCCATGGCTCCTGCAATAGCATGGAATAGGGAAGCTCACTGAGGAGCATCAGAGGTTAGATTAGATTGCATGAAATTGCTGCTTTTTTAGGTCAAAAATAGAGAACCATTGGTGGTTTCATATGGTTCAACCTATTCTATGGATTCCCTTATGGGAATGGCTGTGTTCTTCCTTCAGCAGACACTTGCTTATCCTGTAGGAAATGCCCTGCCTCCCTCCTCTGTTCTTCTTCTCTTTTGGAAAATATGTACTGGGAGCTTTTTAAGTACAGAGCATGTGCTTAGTCCTGGATATGTGGTCATGAACTGGACCTTGCTGGTGTCTAGAGTCTAGACCGGAGTGTTTTGGGGCTAATGGAAAACTCTGAGGTGTGGTGGTGTGGGGCTGCAAAACAAACACAAACAAAAACAAAAAGTAGCCTTTTTTTTTGATGCTGGCTTTCCCCAGATACTAGCAAATCCATCCTAACAGTAAGTAGAGAAACGGAGCTTGATGGAATATTTGTGTTCATTTCAGTGGAAAGAAAATGTTTGCCTTCACTTTCTCAGAACTTTCTTTTGCGGAGAAAACAGCTGATGAACCTGCTGGTAAGAACAAAGAGCCAGACCTCTGTTTGTCTGCAAATCTGGTTTTCACACAGAGCTTCCTGATGAAGTGTGAGGAGCCTCCTCGCAGTGATAGACCAGGGAACAGGGGAGAACCTTTCCCCCTCACACTTGGCATCCCAGCACCTGGCCCCAAGCTCTGTTGCTTGAGAAGATTGTGCTGCTGAAAGCTCATTTCTTTTTTTCCTGTCTAAAGGCAAAACAAGGTAAAATACAATAGCCAGTTGCCTCATATAAACCACCTGCTTAGTAGGAAATGAAGTAAAACTCTGCAGTCCCTATTGCTACTTGAAGAATTTGTGGTTTCCTTTCCTGTCAGTAAACAAAAGCCGTCAGTTAAAAGAGTGGAACATTAATTGTTTACAGGATGTTTGCTGTAACAAAGGAAGGAAAAGTGCCTTTTACAGACTGTTCATTGTGTTGGGGATATTACAACACCAAGTGTCTCTCCTAGAGAAGAGACATTAAGCATAAGATATTTAGTCACAAAACACAGACTGTTTCATTAACAGGACTTTAAAAGACTTATTTTGTAAACTCAAGTTGAGGACTTCATAACGTATCGGCATAAAGAATATAGATGAGAGTAGAAAGCTTCCTTAGAGAAAAAATGAGATCCCAAAATTTTGAAAAATACTGATGCTTCAGAGGCTTTGAGGTTTTTTAAATTGTAGAATATCATGCCTTTTTTTTTTGTAAGAAACATTTATCTTTTATAGTTCAGTAATGTATTTTACCTAGGCTTCCGCACGTTGCCTTTCAGTACAGGCATACTTCGGAGGTTTGCTTATTTCCCAGACAACTGCAATAAAACAAATGTTGCAGTATAGCAAGTCACACAGATTTTTTTTTTTTCCAGTGCATTTAAAAGTTACAGTTACGCTATACTGGAGTTTATTAGGTATGCAGTAGCATTATGTCTAAAAAATGTGCAAACCTTAATTTAAAAATACTTTTTGCTAAAAAATGCAAATGATTATCTGAGCCTTCAGCAAGTCAGTCTTTTTGCGGGTGGAGAATCTTGCCTCAGTGTTGATGGCTGTTGACTGATCAGGGTGGTGGTGGCTGAAGGTTGGGCTGGGTATGGCAATTTCTTAAAATAAGACAACAATGAAGTTTACCACATCAATCGGCTCTTCCTTTCATGAAAGACTTCATGCTGTTTCATAGCATTTGACCCACAGTAGAACTTCAAGACTGGAGTCTCTCCTCTCAAACCCTGCCAAGTTTATGTAATTTCCTAAATCCTTTGCAACAATGTTCATATCATCTTCACCTCCATCTCAAGAAACCAGTTTCTTTGTTCCTCTACAAAAAGCAACTCCTCATCCATTCAAGTTTGATCCTGAGTTTGTAGCAATTTAGTCAGATCTTTAGGCGCCAATTATAATTCTAGTTTTCTTGCTATTTCTTCCTCTATTGAAATGTTAAGCCCCCACCCCAAAGTCATCCTTGAAGGTTGGAGTCAACTTCTTCCAAACTCCTGTTAATTGTTGATATTTTGACCTCCACCCATGAATCGTGAATGTTCTTGATGGCATCTAGAATGGTGATTTTAAAAGGGTTTCGGTTTACTTTGCCCAGATCCACCAGAGGAATTGCTATCTGTGATAGCTATAACATTATGAAAATTACCTCTTAAATAATAAAATTTAAAAGTCAGATTTACTTTTTAATCCATGGGCTGCGGAATGGATGTTGTTAGCAGGCAAGAAACAACATTCATCTCCTTGTACACCTCTGTCAGAGGTCTCGGATAACCAGATGCATTGTCAATGAGCAGTAACATTTTGAAAGGAATCTTTTTTTCTGAGCACTTGGTTTCAATGTGGACTTAAAATATTTAGTAAATAATGCTGTAAACACATGTGCTGTCATCCAGGCTTTGTTGTTCCAATGATAGAGCACGGGCAGAGTAGATTTAGCATAATTCTTAAGGGCCCAAAGATTTTTGGAATGGTAACTAAGCATGAGTTTCAACTTAAAGTCACCAGCTGCATTAACTGCTAACAAGAGAATTAGCCTGTCCTTTAAAGCTTTGAATCCAGGCATTGACTTCCCCTCTCTAGCTGTGAAAGCCCTATAGGACGTCTTCTAATAGAAGGCTGTTTGATTTACATAGAACATTTGCTGTTTAGTGTAGCTCTCCTTGTACCTCACAAACCAGCCTCTGCTACCTGCAGACTTTTCTTCTGCAGCCTCCTCACCTCTCTCAGCCTTCATTGAATTGAAGAGTATTAGGGCCTTTCTCTGAACTAGGCTTTGGCTTAAGGAAATGTGGCTGGTTTCATCTTCTATCCAGAACACTCAAACTTTCCCCGTATCAGCAACGAGATTGTTTTGCTTTCTTATCATTTGTGTGTTCACTGAAGTACCACTTTTAATTTCCTTCAAGAACTTTTCCTTTGTATTCGCGACTTGGCTGTTTGGCGCAAGAGGCTTAGCTTTCGGCCTGTTTTGGCTTTTGACATGTCTTCCCCATTGAGCTTAATTGCTTCTGGTTTTTTATTTAAAGTGAGTTGTTTGACTCTTACTTGAATACGGAGAGGCTGTTGTATGGTTATTAATTGGCCTACGTTCAATATTGTTGTGTCTCAGGGAATCGGGAGGTCTGAGGAGAGAGAGAGAAATGGGGGAGGCTGGTCGGTGGAGCCATCAGAACACAATATTTATGGATTAAATACACTGTTTTATATGAATGTGGCTCATGCCACCCTAGAACAGTTACACTAGTTCCATCCAAGATCGCTGATCACAGGTCACCATAACAAACATAAAAGTAATGACGAAGTTCGAAGTATTGTGAGAATCACAGTGTGACACAGAAACACCAAATGAGCACTTAAAAAATGGTGCCGATAGACTTGCTCCATGCAGGGTTGCCACAAACCTCCAGTCTATAAAAGACACAGTGTCTGCAAAGCACTGTAACATGAGGTTCACCTTATACCTAGTACTGTGTCTGAGTCCCTGACGGTACTAGACGTCCACTGATGTTACGTAGATTGAGACTGTTGTGCAACCATCACCATCATCCATTTTCAGACCTCTTCATCTTGAAAACTCTGTATCTATTTAACCCCATTTCCCCTCACCCCAATCCCTGGCAGCCACCGTTGTACTTTCTGATTTTATGAATTTGACTTACTCTACATACCTCATATAAATGGAATCATACAGTATTTGTCCTTTTTGTGACTGGCTTATTTGCTTAGCGTGGTATCTTCAGGGTTCTTCTATGTTGTAGTTTGTGTGAGACTTTGCTTCCTCTTTAAGGCTGAATAATATTCCACGGCACGTATTTCCCATATGTTGTTTTCTGTATTCATCTAATGGGCGTTTGGGTTGCTTCTACCTTTTGGGCCACTGTGAATAATGTTGCTGAGAACAGGGCTGTGCCAGTTCATCTTCGAGATCCTGCTTTCAGTTCTTTTGGCTGTATGCCCAGAAGTAGAATTGCTGGGTTATATGGTAATGCTGTGTTTAATTTTTTTTTTTAGGTACCCACTATATTATGCATCAGATTTTTAAACTCAGAACTGTCTACATTGGCTACAAAAATGGTCAGTGAGAATTTCTTTCCCCACCCTAATCCTAACCACGGCACAAAATCTTACATTCAGCCGCAGTTGAGGGACTACTGGTAATTTTTCATCTACTGTTTCTGTCCTTCATAAAAATGGAGACAGATTGAAAAAGGAGGGCTTTTTAAAACTAAGACGAGTCATAGCCTTCCCGGTAGGTGACCTTATAGTTTATCGCCTCTCAAAGTGAAAGGAACGCTGTTAATGCTATGCTGGGTTAACACTTGTAAACTGGGACTGTCTCTGGGGTGCCCTCCTTCTTGGGGTTTGTCTTGTCTTTTTTAGGAAGCAGTGCTGGATCTTGGCAGCATTTAGAGAGCCACACTGGCTTCATAAACCCATGTTTATATAGTTTTGTCTGAAGTGTATACTCCACATTGTTGCGTTTTGAGTCCATGCAGTGTCAGGTCTGAGTGTGAGCCCTAGGGCGCTTGGCTGTAGTTGAGTTTGCAGAAATTCTTACGTTGATTATTTTAAAAAATGATGTGTTGAAAGCATGATCTTAGGAGTCCAGATGACTTGAGTTCACATCCTGCGCTTGCTGATTCGCCTGGGGCAAATAACCAGTCTCTTGAGTGCCAGTTTCCTCAACCAGGAAGGCAGAAAAGACCAATTGTTTTTTTCTTTTAATGTGGTGGTGAGTTTGGAAATAACATATATAAAGTGTTTTAGTAGAGTGTCTAGTACGTAGCACTGCATACCTAATATTGACCATCGCCATTATCATTAAAAGATGTAGTTCAACAGAATTTAGTACCAAAATGGATACCTGGAGTTTTCAAAATTTTTGGTTTTAGGATTCCTTTGACGTTCTTAAAAATTATTGGAATTCCATGGAACTTTTGATTATGTGGCTTATCTCTGTTGATGTTTACTATACTAGAATTAAAACTGAGAAATTTTGAAAATATTTATTAATTAAGAATGATGGTAATAACCCCTTTATATTTTATTATAAATAGCATTTTATGAAAATAATTATTTTTCAAAACAGAAAAAGTAATGAGCAGAATTATATTGCTTTATACTTTTGCAAATTTCATTAATGTGTGGCTGAAGAGAAGACAGCTGGATTCTCTTACCTGCTTCTTCATTCAATCTCTTGTGCTATCGTATGTTCCTCAACCTCTGGAAAACTCCATCGAACACTGGGGAGAGAAGAAGAGTAGAAAAGATAAATAGTGCCTTGGTATCAACATGAAAATGGTTTTGACCCTGTGGACCCCTGGGGATTCCTCAGACCACATGTTGAAACTGCTGACCAAGAGTTGTTCTGGGAGTCTGAATGGGTCTCTTTCTTCATTTGTAGGTTCTTGCCAGGCTGTGTGAGCAGGAGCCCGCTGCTCTTCCCCACTCAGGTAAGCCTGCAAGCAAGGCATCCTCACTTCAGAGAGGCATGTTGCTTTTTAAATTGGGGTTTTGTGTCCCACTAATTTTTTTTAAAAGATTGTTTTGGTTTCCCTAGGCTGATAGAGTGTATGTTTTTATTTTGTCACTCTTCCACAGCAAATACATGGGTGAGCATTGTTTTAAGAAAGCTCATTTGAATTTTGGAGTTGCCTAGTTTCAAAGCCTCTGGAGGCTTTGAAAGGAGTCACTGAAGAGTTGCTGTGAGCATCCCTGAATGCGTTTAAAAGGATCTGCTTTTAATAATTGGTTTGTGTGTTATCTACATGGAGCATCCCTTATATTAGAGGTACAACACGTGAGCATGTTGGTGGGTAAAGAGCTGCCAAAGGCTTCTCTCCCCGAATAGGATGTGCCCTGGACCCACTGAGAGCGGCCGTTGTGAGGAAGGTGATCAAGGGAGTGGTGGGGCAAGTCCAGCCTGCTCTGCCCGGGGCTGGGGGCACGGTCATCTAAACCCCTTCCTTGGCTGCAGAATAAAGGCAGAGGTGCTCCCTTACTTATGTGTGTGCACAAATACTGCATTTCCTGTAGCAGCAGGAAATAAGATGGGCTTGTGAAGGAGCCTGTCGGAAGTAACCACCCCCAGGACATTTGTCCTCCAGCTTTGGATTGTCAAAAATGGATTCCCATCCTTTCCTCTCAGTCTGTGTCTACACAACAATGCACACAGGCACATGGCACATGCACGCACCCACACACACAGTTTTCAGGTTACAAACTTCATGACCTTTTACCCCTAAGCACTTCAGTGCGATAGAGATATTTGCTTGGGTAACAGAGGTTTAGTTATCAACTTCAGATAGCTAATATCGATTCCTTACTCACACCAAATCTATTATTTGTATCCCAGTTTTACCATTTGCTCGAAAATGTCCTTTGTAGCATCATTCCCCTCCATATAGGGTCCCTCTAGGGTCAGGCGCTGCATTTAGTTGCTGTGTCCCTTGATCAATCATTATTTCCATAGCCTTTGTCTTTTATGCGTGTTGGTGCATTTTGAGGTCTGTGGCCTGGGAGCTTGCCTTTAAAAATGATTTGGGGGGCCGGGCACAGTGACTCAAACCTGTAATCCCAGCATTTTGGAAGGCCGAGGCGGACGGATCACCTGAGATGGGGAGTTCGAGACCACCCTGACCAACATGGAGAAACCCCGTCTCTACTAAAAATACAAAAAAATTAGACGGGCATGGTGGCTCACGCCTGTAATCCCAGCTACTTGGGAGGCTGAGGCAGGAGAATCACTTGAACCTGGGAGGCGGAGGTTGCGGTGAGCCGAGATTGCGCCATTGCACTCCAGCCTGGGCAGCTAGACTTTGTCTCAAGGAAAAAATAAATAAATAAATATATATATATATATATATATATATATATATATATATATATGTATGTATGTATATATGTGTGTATATATATATATATATATATATGTATGTATATGTGTGTGTATATATATATATATGTATTTGACGATAAACATTTAAACTGTGACAGAATACCACTGGAGGAGGGGGTGGATATCCACTACGAGTTTCTTATAAATTGTGAGTACATAAGTACATACATGTTGAGTGGTGAAATTGTGAAAATCCTTGCAAGAAAAGAGGTGGAATGGAGGAGAGAACAGTAGACACAGACTCTGCCTGAAAAGAATGTGTTCCCTCCTAATGGGAATCAAGAGACTTGGCTGAAGTGCTAATGAAAACCGTTGAGACTGAGTAAATTCTGATGCGGAAGTAAAACGAGGGAGATAGTGAACATTTTCAGCATAGGAAATGGGAGGTGCTTCCCACCTAGGTTTAAGGAAAAACCAACACATTGTACGGCTGCCCTTGTCCCTCCCAGTTCCTTGGTTTCCTCCGAATCTAAGTGATGAGTTCTTTCTGTTACTAGCCTGCTGGCCAGCTAAGGGACACCTCATGCTGCCCGGACACAGCTGGGGACCTTCTGGCCTTTACTGCACTTTGGAGTACTATGGGAAACAGGCACTGTGTGGACTTCACACTTTCTGAATTTTCCTTAGTCAGGTGTATACAGACGTGTACCTAGAGGACATGGTCTCCAGATTAATTTCTTTATGGGTAATCTGATGAGTGCAGTTCTGGAATATGCTACCGTATACAATAGGGAGCACATTTGTGATGCATTGTGTTAGCCCCTTTTTGTGTTGCTATAAAGAAATACCTGAGGCTGGATAATTTACAAAGAAAAGGGGTTTAATTCACGGTTCTGCAGGCTGTACAGGAAGCATGGTACTGGCATCTGCTTGGCTTCTGGTGAGACCTAAGAAAGCTTTTAGGTAGAAGTTGAAGCGGAAGCCAGCATGTCACGTGGTGAGAGTGGAAGAATCAGACAGAAGGGGGAGGTCCCAGACTCTCTTAAACAACCATATTTCATGTGAACTAACTGAAGGAGAACTCACTTAACCCCAAGGGGACGGTGCTAAGCCATTCATGAGGGATCCACCTCCATGATTCAGTCATCTCTCACTAGGCCCCACCTCCAACCCTGGGATCACATTTCAACATGAGATTTGGAGGGAGCAAATACCCAAGCCATATCATGTGTGTGCACGATTTTAGGCAAACTTCATTTTACCAAAAGTTCTTCAGTTTTTAAATTTGTAAGTATATTAATTTCAGGTAACACAGAAATGTATAAAATGGAGCATAAATCTCTCCTGCAGTCTCATTCCCCAAAGGCAATCACTGTCAACAGACTTTTCAGAAACCCACATGCACACTTAAAAAAATTGAATTATTCAATATGTACTATTTTTGACCACAGATATGTTGTACATTGCCTTTATTTTCACTTACCAATATATTGTAGACATCTTCTCATTGTCTGGTTTTAATGTTAAAAAAAGTGTTTTATCGTTTTAGTGTTTATGTTCTAAAAAATTAATACTGAGGTTAGGTTTACATGCTTATTGACCACTTGTATTTGTTTTGCTCATTTATCTTTTGGAGTTTTACATGTACTGATATTTTAAATCTCTATTCTGGATATTAGTCTTTTGTCACATGTAACAAACAAGTATTTTTTCCAATTCTTAGTTTGCCCTTGAGCTTTCTGGAGATACCTTTTGCAATAGAGTAGTTTTGAGTTCTCTTTTATCAAGTATGTCAGTCTCTCAGTCTCTCCCTAAGTTTAGCTCCTTTTTTTTTTTTTTTTTTATAGTTTCTGGCCTGATTCTCATGCTAAGAGAAAACACTCCACAATTATAAAAATTACTTTCCATATTTTAGTTTTAAATTTGCATATGATGCTTTTTTTCTTTATTTTTGCATGTGGTATGAGTTGCAGATCTAAATTTTTTCCAGTCTGTTAGTCCAACTCCAGGTATTCTCTCTTGTTTTAAAATTAAGTTTTATTTATATTTTTACTGTTTGAGTTGCTTTTGATTTGGATCCATATGATGTCTTTAAGAGCACAGAGGAAAGTAAAGGTGTGCTTCCTTGAATAAGCTACTGTGTCCCAGGTAGTCTTTTTTCTCAGTTGAAAATCCATTTCAAATGCTGTTTTAACATGGGTTACAATTGGACCCTAATGAAAGGGGACATCACAAATCTGTACAACATATCTGTTGATAAAAAGTATGAATGAAGTTCAATTGCTTTGGTTCTTTTAGTTTTTCTTTTGCAGTGACCTTTATTCTCCAGTTAACTTATATGTAAAGAGCACCTTGTTTAAAATCTACAGATTTTGTGATAGCGTCAGAACCGAGGAGACGGCATACTTATTTAATTACTGACTTGTTGCATACTTCTTTGTAGATGATTTTACCATTTGATGCCCTCATTTTCCCATTGGCGAAGTTAGGATTTGTTCACTTAACCATCTTAAAGGCTTAGAAACTTGTTTATCAGAGGATTAGGGAGACTTGTTCTGTGGGAGAAATCAAATTATTATCATGAGAAGTGACTGAGACAAGTTTGGGCTGAGCTCCAAATTCTTGTCCTTACAAAGATGAATAGAATTTTCCGAGATAGCTGGCACTGTAGTGTTACAGCGGTCTGTGTTTCAGCTTTCAGACTTCTAGTAAGAATTTTTAACTCCTTAGGTGTTTTCTTATCAGAAAGGTGCTGTTTTGATGCCTGGAATATTTTGTTCCTTCTCTCTGCTTTCAGCTTTACCTTCCGCCTTTCACCCTTTGGGAATCAAAATAAGTATTGGAGGGATGGTGCTAGGCTTGCTTTTGATCCTGCACTTTTTTATTTTATGGTCAGTTTCGTAAGGCCAGTAGAATTCTAGACTTGAATGGATCTTTAGAGGATCCGTAATTTATCTTTGTTTATTTATTTATTTAGAGATGGAGTCTTGCTCTGTTGCCCAGGCTAGAGTGCAGCGGTGCCATCTTGGCTCGCTGCAGCCTCCGCCTCCTGGGTTCAAGCGGTTCTCCTGCCTCAACCTCCCAAGTAGCTGGGACTACAGGCATGCGCCACCACGCCCAGCTAATTTTTGTATTTTTAGTAGAGATAGGGTTCCACTGTGTTGGCCAGGCTGGTCTCGAACTCCTCACCTCGGGTGATTCGCCTGCCTCAGCCTCCCAAAGTGCTGGGATTACAGGTGTGAGCCACCATGCCTGGCCTTCATCGATTTTTAAAATGTTCTCAGACTGAGTTTCTCATTGTCCCGCCCAAGTTTCTGAACAAACATTCTAGTTACTAGATCTCTACAGGAGGAACGACAGCATCCTTTGCCTGCTTACAGCAGATGTGCGCCATCTCTTGCCAGGATTGGGTTGTCAAGAACAAGTCAGGGGTCCTGGTGCTTGATCCTTCACTCGGGTGTTTGACCACTGGGACATGCAGTTGCCTATATATAACATGTTTAGATGATTTCATATCTCTTCCTAAATTCCAATTTTTTTGCTGCTTATATCTGAATGTCAGGGTGGGTAAACACAAACACTTTCCAGATTATGTTTTGAAACATTTTATTTCATATTACACTATCAGCCAAATTTAGAAAGCTGTAGCCACCTCAGGCAGATGGTCTTAAAATCTGAAGACCTCAGGGGAAGGAGACTGTGGGCTCTCAAGAGTGATTTCATACAGTAAATATTTACCGAATAATTTCTGTAAGTGCAGTACTCTGTTAGTTGCTGGAGGAAACAAGATGATGAAAAGGCAGCCCTTCCCCGTCAAGAGTTTGTAATCTAAAGGGGAAAAAGCAAATATACGTAAATAGCTCCGATAAAAGGTTCAGTTGCTGTAATGATAAAATACTGGGAGAATACTAGTGAGCTGAGATGACTGTGGATCTGTGTGTCCTCCAGGGCGCCTGGCATGTTGTAGGCACTCAATACACACGTTTGGGTGGATAAGTGAACACATGTAGACATGTGCATTTTGGTGTACTTTATTCAGAGTGAAAAAGATGTATAGAAAGAGATAATGTGTTAGATTTGCATATGGCTTCATAGGGTTTGAGGATTTGATGAGGTCATCAAGGGCCTGAGGCAAGCTGAGCAGAAATCCAGCCCATGGTCCACTCCATGTCCTCTTGTACCCAGGATAGCCCTGTCTGTTCCTTAGCCTCCTCTTCCCAAGGCTTGGAACACTCTTTTTTTCTGCAGCACCTGAACCCATTGCACAAAGTAAGATTTGGTCCTTAATTCAATAGGTCTATGAGAGTGAAAAAGCAGTGTTTTTTCCTCTGCTGCTGTCATACCACAACAGTCAACAAAGAAGACTTCCATGACCACATGTTTGGCAGTTTGCCCCCACACCAAGCAAGCAATTAATCCTGCAGCAAACACTAGCTGGCTGTCTTCTAATTCAACTCAGTTCTGATACTGTTTACCTGGAGATAGTGTCAGATCCCACAGGTTGAGGGCCCAGTCCCAGGACTCTCCTTCCTTTCTCTGCTGCTTCATGTGCCAGTCTCAAGCTCCAGGTGGATTTCCCTGTGCTTCTGATTGACTAGATTGGGGTTTCCACAACGCCCTCGTTGGATATGATTAATTTGCTAGAGTGGCCCACTGAACTCAGGGAAGCTCTTAGATATACTGGTTTATTACAAAGGATGTTACATGTCTCTTCTACAGATGAAATGCATAGGTTGAGGTTAGGGAGAGGGACACAGAGCATCCATGTACTTTACAGTCATACCACCTTCCAGGAACCTTCATGTGTTCAGCTGTCTGGAAGCTTCTGGAACCCTGGCGTTTCGGACTGTTAGAGAAGCTTCATTACATAGGCATTATTGATTAAACCATTGGCCATTGGTGATCAAATTAACCTTCAGCCCCTCTCTCCTCCCTGGAGGCTGTGGGATGGGGCAGAAAGTCCCAACCCTCCGATTAGGCCTTGGTCTTTCAGTTGACCAGCCCCATCCTAAAGCTACCTCAGGGCTGCCATCCATCAATTAACTCATTAGCATACAAAAAGATGTCACTGGAAATTTTAAGTATTTTAGGAGTTGTATACCAGGAAATGGGGTTGAAGTTCAAATATATATTTTACACTATCACAGTCCAATACGCTGGTTTCTCATGGACTAGTTCATGCTAATCAGGCTCAAAACAAACTCCTTTATAACTTGGAAATTTTTTTTTATTGGCAAGGGAGGATATGCTTTACTTGTTAATTAGAAATTTATTTATTTTCCTTCCATTTTTCCAATTTCTGTTCTTACCATTAGGTTATAGCTAGTTGAATAAATGACAATAATTTATTATATATCTTGATTATATTATGAGTAAGGTTTCCCAAAATATAATGCTGATCAACTTGATCACACAAGACACACTTTATGACTGAAGGTGACAGATGCAGTCTCTCATTTGCAGTGTATTTTCAGGCCATTTCCTCTTCTGTTGAATAATTATTATTGCAGCTTTATTTGCTTACTGTTCACTATGTGGCAGATAATATTTTAGTATTTTACCTTTTTCATTTAACCTTTCAGTAGTGCTTTGAAGTAGGTATCTCCATTTAAAAAATAAGGCCCAGGGAGGCTTTGTGATTTGCCTAAGGGTCATATAGCTAATTTGTAATGGAGCAAACTACCAGATCTCTGTGGCAGTGCCCCAAGGGTAGTGACTTAAGGAGACGGCCAAGTCATCCATTAGTCGTATTTTATAGATAATTTCAGAATGTGGTCTTATTTTGCTTCTGTAGGCAGTTAGGAGAAAAACCAAAAAGAAGCATCTGTACAATTATATTATCTTCTATATGTTCATATATTGTTCATGCAGAAAGATAAGCATATTGATATTGTGCAAAACCAAATTGAATCCTCATAAGACTTCAAGAATGTGTACTAGAGTAATAGGAAACAATTACTGCATATTCTCACACTCAAATGAATTGACCCATTGGTAACCTAAAGCCCTGCTTGAAATAATCAGACTTCTAAAAACACACTGAACCCTGAGTATTGTGAACGTTGGATTCTTTTCTGTTTTGCCGAATCTTCAACTTAAGTGGAGATTAAATGGTTGAGATATCTGAAAGAAGTGTGAAATGTGAAAGTCCGTCTATTAAGGATTATCCCTACAAATGTTTAAAATGCAATGTCATGCTTTGTACAAGCCTTCTACAGTGTTATTTGGAAAGCATTTATAGTACCATGTTATAAAGACAGTTTTGTATATTCCGTTAGTGAAAAGCGACGAATACCACTCTTAGTTCATGAATCTGAAATCCAGCAGGGCTTTTCCACGTACCACATTGTGATTTTATAAGTTAAGTCTCAGTATGCATGGTTTATTTTCTTTCCTTTGTTTGTTTGCTTTTATTAAACATTTCTCTTTGGAGGAAATATCAGTGGAAAGCTTTATAAAGGAACAATTCAGTGAGGAACAATGGATAGTGTTAAGGTTTTGATTCTTTAATGAGATAACTTTTTCCTCAATGAAAGCACTTTCTGAGGTAATGAGCAATGTGTCTGATAGAGGCTGAGAGGCTGAGACTCCATTTCAAAACAAAAGAAAACAAAACAAACAGAAAAATCTTTGTTATTTTAAGCAGTGGTCTAAGCCCTAGCTGTGCACCTCAGAAATTTAAAACTGAATTAAAAACTGAATTTCCAACATCTATATTTTCCTAAACTGCCCCAGGTGATTCTTAAAAGCTAAGAAGGGTTGAGAACTTCAGTGTAAGGGCAACTTGAAAGAGCCATAGTCAATAATTATTATAATGTAATCATCACCTTCATGTCTATTTCAGTGGGAGGGTAAAAGTTCTCTTAACCCTGACAGTGTATACTATAGGAACCATCCCATCTTGAGAGTCCTTTCAAACTCAAACATTCCTTCTGCCTCATACTTCTGTGGTCTAGGAAGTCACAGGATATTGGATCATTGTGTCCCCTTCATACCTTAAGGCACACACAATAGAAATAAAGGCCCTGCAGTCACCCAGTTTAAAAGTTTGTTTGTTTAGAGAGAGAAAGGAATAGAGAATCTGTATGTGCAGTAAAAGGTGATAATTTTCTGTATTGATTTTCCTACTAACAAATGGTAACACATTCTAAGTTCAGATTTAATTCTTGGTAATAATAATAGCTAGCATTTATTGAGTACTTCCTGTTCTAAGTCTTGCTGTCAGCATTTTGCAGGTGTTCTTTCTTTTATTAATTTGTATAAAGCAGCTCCTCTTGCTGTCTTTCTTGCTCTGTGGATGCAGCACACAGAGGCACAAAGATGCCTAAGGGACTTGTCCAGGTCTCACAGTCAATAGTTGAGCAGGCACTTTGGCCTGAAGGAGATTCTAGTGTCAGGCTCTTAGCCATGAGCCTGTGTTGACACCCATGTATTTGCAGAAAAGCATTCTGGCAGTTGGGCTTGGTGAAAACAGTTTGATTTAGTGAAAAAACCTGGAAGAACCTTAATCGGAGAGTTAGACAACAACCTGGTTTGCCATCCAAGGTGTCAGATTATTAACTTGATATGACATTGGGCAAGTTACTTCACCTATCTAAGGTTTTTATCCAGATTCATCCAGACGATGCTTGTTGATCTAGCTATTTTCTTTTATTTGAAAAATCAACTGTTAGACACTTACTATTTCTATCTTTCATTTAGTGTACTTACTCATTATCAATTTATTTACTTTAAATTCTGGGATACAAGCACAGAACGTGCCGGTTTATTACATAGGTATACATGTGCCATGGTGGTTTGCTACACCTATCAACCCGTCATCTAGGTTTTAAGCCCCGCATGCATTAGCTATTTGTCCTGATGCTCTCCCTCCTCTCATCCCCCACCCTGAGACAGGCCTCAGTGTGTGTCATTCCCCTCCCTATGTCCATGTGTTCTCGTTGTTCAGGTCCCACTTATGAGAGAGAACATGTGTACACTTATTATTTATTACTTCTCCCATCTATATTAATATGTATTAATTTATTAATACTTCTGGGAGAAGAGTAATACTTCTGCCATCCTGTCCCCACAATAAAAACCCAGAGTAAGAATCTCTTTTCAGATAAATATATTGAAAAAAGGAAAAGTAAACGCTAAATTAAAATTGGGGTTTGAGGAGTGTTAACATGTAGCTTTTAACTTTGTACTTTCTTATGATCTCATCTGATGGTTTCTTGTAGCTGCCTATTGTGGCCTGATTTTCATTCTGTCCAGGAGTGCTCTCTAGAAGGGTGGCACTCCTGGCCTCTTGGTGGCCCATCCCTTGCAGGCAGGCTTCATGCTTGATAGTGACCCCCTCCCTCCTGGTTTTTGTTTTCTGCCTCTGTGGCCTGAGCAGTCGACCTGATGGGGTCTAAAAAACCTTTCTTGGCCAGGAGCAGTGGCTGATGCCTGTAAGAAGTTGCAGCGAGCCAAGATCGCACCATTGCACTCCAGCCTGGGCAACAAGAGCAAAACTCCATCATACACACACACACACACACACACACACACACACACACACACACACACGAAAAAAAAAAAAACCTTTGTCGTTCAGTCTGGCCAACATGATGAAACACACACACACACACACACACACACACACACACACACACGAAAAAAAAAAAAAACAACCTTCGTCGTTCAGTCTGGCCAACATGATGAAACCTTCCTTGGCCAGGAGCAGTGGCTGATGCCTGTAAGAAGTTGCAGCGAGCCAAGATCACACCATTGCACTCCAGCCTGGGCAACAAGAGCAAAACTCCATCACACACACACACACACACACACACACACACACACACACACGAAAAAAAAAAACAAACCTTTGTCGTTCAGTCTGGCCAACATGATGAAACCTTGTCTCTACTAAAAATACAAAAATTAGCTGGGCATGGTGGCGGGCACCTGTAATCCCAGTGACTCAGGAGGCTGAGGCAGGAGAATCGCTTGAACCCGGGAGGCAGAGGCTGCAGGAAGCGGAGATCATGCCACTGCACTCCAGCCTGGGCAACAGAGCGAGACTCCGTCATAAAACAAAACAAAAAGCTTTGTTGTTTTAAGCAGCGGTCTAAGCCCTAGCTGTGCACCTCAGAAACTTAAAACTGAGTTAAAACTGAATTTCCAACATCTGTATTTTCCTAAACTTCCCCAGGTAATTCTTAAAAGCTATGAAGGAAGGGTTGAGAACTTCAGTGTAAGGGAAACTTGAAAGCCATATTCAATAATTATTATAATGTAATCATCACAACAGACCTTCTTGTCTATTTCAGTGGGAGGGTATAAGTTCTCTTAAGCGTGGCAGTGTATACTATAGAAATGTGTGGCTCAGTCATGCACCCCACCTCTGTTTGCCTGCCTAGGTCCCCCCGCATTCCTCTCATATTCTTGTGTAGGCTGTAAGGGCTAAAATTTAGGTTTGCTGTGTGTTCAGACAAAATGAGGAAGCTGGAGGAATCCAGGTGAAGAGGTGACCACAAGAGCTTAGGTGCAGACTGAAAATACAATTTAGTTTTCTTTTCTATTCCTGTGTCTGTTGTTTAGGAGTTGAGTATGTAGGATTATTCCTTGGTATGATCTGCCTGCCAAACCATACTATTTTTAGGCACTACACCACACAATAGGTTTATAAAGAGGCTATTGAACCTTCTGAGGCTGCTGTAGTCTGTCTGACAAGGGCTGAGCTACAAGGAGGCTCCCCCACCTCACAGTTCAGGCATGTAGGATTTTTATTGTTTCTTTTCAGAAAGCATCTGAATAGCTTAAAAATACAGTGGTTTGGCAGTCTAACAGGTGATGCCAGATGTCTACACAGCTCTCCTTCCATGCCTGGGTTCTCTCGACACAGCTTGCAGGTGTTTGTTAGGTGGCTAATTTTTATTTTTTCTCCTTTTTAAAATGTGCTAGAATGTGCACAGTTAGTGGTGCTAAGGGGAAAAAAGTGAACACGTGAAGCATTTTTTTGTTTGTAGGTCTCTGTCCTCTGTCTGATGATGCGTTTTATTTGCTGAGGGGATCCCCTTGTTCAGATCTGATTATCAAGTGGACTAAACAGAGTCAGTAGTAAACATTTATTACTTTACATTTGTTTTTAAAATGGCAATCAGATCTTGTTGGCTTCGAATCCATTCTTGGAAATACGCATCAGTACATTATGGTGAAAAAGTATTAGGTTATTAACAGTTGCAATGGAAAAAAATTCTCATTATAAAATAATGTGATGCCTTTAATGTGTCCACATAATAGATTGGGTATTATTTATGATTCTTTTCTTCCTTTATTCTATCTCCTTCCATTAAAATGCTCTAATAGGCGGTGTGTTAGAATTCCTGTGTAGCTTTGACTTTTTAAAGCACATATCTTTATGCAGATCATCCCCAAACTAATTTTCATCCAGGCAATTAGCCAAGTAAAGATTTTTCTTTAGCAGTGCTTAGGGAGGGGATAGACTTTAAGTTATCTTTGACAACTTTATGATTAATACTGAATGTATTTAACTCCTTTCTGCTGCTGTTACAGACGCATGTGCCTCCTTGGCATTCAAAATGTGCAGTTGACATATCTGCCACTCTGTAAGGACAAGCCTGGGCAGCCTTGCCAAGGGCAGCATTTTGGTTTTCCTAACTACATTTGGGTCATTTTCCCCATTTCTCCTCATCAGTACTTCTCCAGTGTCCTCTGCCCTCCAAAACTCCTGGGGATTTGTTGGTGGTCTCAGCAACTTATCCATATTTGAAGCCGTATTTACTCGCTCAGGGCCTCTCAGAGCAGCTGGCGCGGTGGGACCCATCAGGTGGTTGGCTTTATGGCCTCCTCTTTACCTCTGGCCCTGGAAAAGGTTTAGTAATCGCTAAGCCTCCATATCAAGAGTCACCTGAGGCCTTTGCCGAAGTACCCATGCCCAGGTGCATTCCACACGCTGCCCTGTGTATCCCTCTCTCCTGCTCCTGCATTTTGACTCAGTAGGTATAAGCTGGGGCTGGAAAGCGGAATTTTCTTTCATCAAGACCATTCCCATCAAAGCCTGGCAATGATAAGTAACTTATCCAGAGTCACTCTGGACAGCCTGCCAGTCAAAGGTAAAAGAGCATGTACTCTGCTTTTGTTTTCTATCTGTAGAATAAGGAAGGACCAACAGGCTCATTGGACTGTTCATTCTGGGCACAGGCAGATGGCTGTTTGGCTCATTAGTGTTTCATTTCCTGTTACTAGGGGTGGGCATTGTGTGTGGCTCCCCTGTGGTAGAGAAGGACATCGGATGAACATGTGATCTGTGTATCCAGCTCCAACCCAAAAGGTAATGAAAATGGGATCCAGTTTGTAGTTTTGTATATGGAAATAATTATCTTAATTGCAGGTACACATCAGGGGCCAGTCAGAATCTGGCATGAGAATGTCCAAAATGTAGTCTTCTGGTCAAATAGTGACAGGTACATATGTGCAAACCCATTTAAAATAATCAAAAGCTGACTTCCTGAAACTTTACCTGAAACTTTGTTATCTTTTACCAGAATATATAATGATAAGGAGTTGGGAAGATAGTTGAGAATGATGTCGTGGCCATTTGTATCATTAATCAAAAAGGTCTAGGAATTCACATTGTTTGACTGACTTTGTCTTCTATTATCTTTATCAGTTGACGTGGAGATTGCAGTATACCTCCCCAGGAACTGGTAGACGGTGGGAATGTCTAAACCAAATGACTTTTTATGCACGTGAGCAAATGTGTAAGAGTCATAATATATCTGTCTGGAACATAGTAGATTCTTAATAAATATTGGAATGAAAGTTTAATGCTTTGAAAAAGGCTTCTTTTACGTCTACTAAAGTTCTAGCTCAGGATACTGTAGTGTTTTTATTTACTTTTTTTTCCTCTTCATGAAAATCTAGACTCTTAAAATCCAGTATCTTTAGTAGATAATTTGCATTTATTTATTATCCAAGTTTTACATCTTGGCGTTTTTCCAGCAGTGATACCTCTCATGATTCTGTTCCACTGTGAGAAATTATATGCACTTAGAAGCTTTGATTTCTGGTTCATGTTAGAACTTCTCAGTACATGGCCCAGGGCTTTGGGGCTGCTGTGTCCTGGTCTGGCCATTGAGGCTCATGAAGGCTGAGGCCTCTGGGCCTGCCTCCCACATGCAGAGGAGGCAGGTGAGAGCTGGAGGGCCTCCCTGCTGGGCAAGGTGACCAGTACACAGCATTTTCCTTCCCATGAGGATTAAACAATCACTGGGAAACGTTCCTATATCTAAGGAATTATGCCTTATTAAAGGAATCTTTAGTAAGTACTCAGCTTCATGAGCAGATGATCCAAAAAGATGACTCTGAATTAAATTTTTTATTCCTGAGGGCCTTATTAAATACCAGTGCAGCGTATGAGCAACAGGGCATAGCAGCTTCTTTTGGGTGATATTATTTGGTTAAATCAATTACTAATACCAGACTACTGATTTCTTACTAATGTTTTGGTGTAGTGCAGGTAGCTGGGGATGTGGTTTGGGGTAGGAGGTGGTTAAGCCATTTTATCCCAATAGTCTGATGGACAGGAAGATGGGATTGCTGGCTGCCATGCTACCACCAGCTCACAGGGAAAACTGTTTTTAAAAACACAAAGTACGTTTCTTTACTGTCAATAAAGGACTGGCCAAGGGCTATTTCTGTTCTGAGTTAGTTCCTTTGTGGGCCCTGAAAGTCCAACAGTTCTGTGTGTGAGAGAGAGAGCAGATTAGGCAGGGATCAAAAATCAAGAATGAATTGAGGGGAACCGACAGGAAGGAAATTTGTTTCCAGACGGATTTGCTGATGGGTAGGTATTATTACTCTTTGTGAACTTTTATTTCCTTGATGAACAGATAGTCAGTTTATATCTGCATTGAATTAGTCTATAGTAGAAACATTGTAGCTTACTCTAACAATAGAGCAATTTATTTATTTAAAGTAATACACACTAATCTTCATTTACTTATATTTTGAACCAAGGCTTCTTTGTTTTATACAGGTAACCTATTAAAAGTAATATATTACATATATAGTATTTGTATAGAAAGAAGGAAATAAAATCTCCTCAATTGTCAACACCCAATGATGAAAACAAAATTTTGGAGAATTTTCTTCATCTTTTTTCTATAAATACATGGTATGTCTGTGTATGTATGTTTGTATTATATTCTGTTGATATACTGCATATACATTTTGGTGTGCTTTTATTAAAGCACATTTCATTATTTCATGGTCTTTATAAATAGTATTTTTATGCTAGAACATGTATTTATTTTACAGGAGTTGGCATATTTCTTTTCAAGAACACTGACCGGGGCAAAAGGAGGTTTATTCTTCCTGCCTGTGCAGTTCCCAGGCTTAGTGCTTGTGACTGCAGAGTCTAAAGCACTCTACATGCCGGGTCTAGCTGGAGCTGATTGAGTTTATGTTACTATTTGTTCATATTGGAAGCATCCCTTCTGTGTTAAGATGTAGAAGAAAAAGTTTATTAAATGGGATGCTGCTGCCCTATGATTGAGCTCTGCATAGTGAAAATATTTACTCAGTCTGGCTGACTTCTAGGATAATCCCTGCTACCCCATGGGCTGGCAGGAAGGAAGCTGAGCTCTGGCTTCCTGCTGGGCCTAGAGTGCTGATGTCTGGGGTTGCTGGGGTAAATTCAGACATTCTTCTACTTTACATAATTGAGATCACCCACCCACCGGTGGGATGAGGACTCTAGAGTGTGAAATTAACACATCAAGTGAATTTTATATCATGGTAGCCTTGGGCTGGTTTTTGCAAATTAAATTTTTGCCTCAGCCCTGCAAAAGCAGTATTAATTTAGTACTGGTGAAACCAAACTGTTTCCATGACACTTCTACCCTGAGAGGTGAGAGGATCGTTTTATACTAGGATAGTGAGTCTTACTGAATAAATTGTTATCTGTTTGGTAAAAACTACTATTGACTAAAAGTGATTACCCTCATAAAACTTGATGCACATGGTGTAGAAATTTAAAGAAAACATGCATAAAAACGAAGATTTAGGATCATGCATCAGCCAGGAGAAATGCCAGTTAGTTCTTCCAGAAGACTTTTATGGGAGATAACTCATTAGCTGGCAAAATTAAAAAAAAAATTTGTTTGGGGGTGCACTGAGAATGGATCTATCTCTCAGACTTGGTTGCTTTAACCAAACTCAGTAGCGGAGTATGTGACAAGAATGCCTACTTAGTAATGTACAAAACTAAATATGCTCACCATGGGAACCTGAATGCCAGCCTTTTCTCAGTGCCATATTCCCTTCCTGAAGGTAGACAGAGGTCTGCAGGTTGCCCGGCACATTTGCCATCAGAACCGTGGCCGGGGGTGGGGCACATTTACCATCAGAACCAGGGAGAGAAGTGAGTTGAACAATTATGGCTTCAGACAAGGACTGCCCAGGAGAGGACTCCCCATCTAGTGGCTGAGGGTCCTTCTCCTCTGGATGCCAAAATTTCCTCTAGGATCCTCTTTTCATGTCCCCAGTTCCTGCCCAAAACTCTCTTTAATTATGTTTTGCCATTAATTAGGATACAGTCAAATCTTACCTCGAGGCTTCTTGCTCTTTGAAGTGTAAATCTCAGTGGGTTATCTTTTCTCCTCATTTCAAGCTGTCTGGGGAGGTTTCACTGTGTGAGATAAAAGCCTATGGCAACTGGCTTTCCAAGTAGGGTTCTGTTTGAACAATGCAGCTATGACTTGTCACTTTTTCCAGCAAGGCTTTTGTTTTGGCTTACTCTCCATACAGACACTGCTTTGGTGATGTGGAATAATGATCCTTATAAAAATAATGTCTGAGTGTTTTAAATGTATGATTTATCTATGGACTGGAGATGTTACAGTCAGTGTCATGCTGGTACAGGATGTTCAGCCTGTTGACACTTCTCAGCACATGCCGGCAATGTTTCATTTAGCTGACAATCTTTTGTGTCTTCACTGTGCCAGGCATCTTGTTAGGCAGGGTGAGACAATACCACATTGACCAGGTTTCTCTGATTTCTACATCCTCAGTCTAGTGGGATAGACAAGCATGTAAATAAATAATGGTAATGTTGGGTTGTGTCTCTCAGAACACGGAATAGGGCAAGAGCTGTGGCTTGCCAGAGACAGTGAGAACACATGGAAGTCACAGTAGCTGCAGAGGAAATATTCTTTGGAATATTGGAATTTTCAAAGTACCTGGAGTTTGGGTTAACAAGAGTGAGAGAGGAAACTCACTGGCTGGGAATGGAAAGACTGGTTGAAGTCATTGTTTGGTGGGGCCTGATGTGTTGTGGGGTTAAGATAGTGAATGATTTGCATAGAAAGAAACACACAAGGAGTTTTTTTGTAACCTTTGACCAAAGTTAAACACCTACCCCTGCTGTATGTGGCTTCCACTATTGAAAAGCGCCTGAACTCTCAAGAGTCCGTTATGGCTTATCTTAATAGAGAGACTGATAACCACATTATGGGGTGCCTTAGGTAGAAGCGAATGCCAGAAATGGAGCCCAACCCCTGGCAGGCGTTCACTGTATGTTATATCTTCCTATTTGTCCTGTACGCCTGCTGAATTTGTGATAGCAATGAGACCGGATCCACAAACATTGTCACCATAACCTACTGTGGATTACACAGGCGCTGTGCAGTGTCAGCCTCTCACCTCCTATCAGTATTTTATTGAGCTGCCTTCATGAGTTTTTGTTAATCCTCTTTTGCTCACGGGACACAGGTAAAAATTTACTTTTGTTGGGTGTGGGATTTCTTCCACATGGCTTCTCTCTCCATTCTTGACTGTTGTCCCAGAGCTGGCCTGTGTCTCCTGGTCCAACGGATTGCCTCCATCCTGAAAATCTCAAAGACTGCAAAATCCTTGAGATTTTGATATCTGAATCTAAAAAATAGAGGGAAATTAAATGAGCTTTCCAAGAAGTGTGCTTTAACTTTTCCTGGGTAAATTGTCTTATCTTTTTGCAGACTTCAGTCTGACCCCAGTGTTCACTACCTTGGAGCTCTTCCATTTTTTTTTTTTTTAACTGTTTGTATGAGAGGATAAGATCCCTAGTTTTACAAAGCAAAGTTCAAAGATTCTCAAGTGTGATTGATAACAGCTCCCGAAGACACATAATTTCTTTTGGTTTTATCTTGTTTCTGTCTCTGTTTGTTTTTCCCGGATGACACACTTATCTGTCTGGTTTCTCCATATCTGAACGGGGTTTATGTGCCATTGATAGCTGCCTTTTGAATTGCGTGGATTTTGTTTCCATCCTTGTCTGTGCAGCATCAGAGCACATTTGTAGAATTATCAGCTGGTGTGTTAAACTGCACTATGGCCATACCTTATCGCTAAAGGGAGAGAAGAAGTTTTGGGTTCACTTTTTCTTTTAAAAATGTAATTGAGATAATTATTTGGTTATCTTTAACTTAAGCAACAGCAGCAGCAGCAACAACAGAAAACCTGACATGCCAACAGATGAGATAGATGTTGGGTAAATTTGAGGGGCAGGGGCTGCCAGCAAAACCCTTGATGAGAGAAGCTTAGTTGAGTTCAGTTCATTCCTCTGTAAGTTTTGTAACAGACAGAAAGGTAAGCTTTTATCACAGTGTACACATTAAACTTCTTTAAACAGCTTAGTGGATCCTGAGTTCTTGCTACAGATACTTCAGAATGTGTGCACTCATGTTATCTTTAGCAGTAATGTCATCTTTAAGGAATCCTGTGTTAGCTCTTCATGGCTCTCACCAAGTTTAGGTGATCCTTGAACTGTTGACAGTCTTCTGGGTTAACTATGGCTTGCCGTCTCTGCAAAATGCTATTCAAGGACATTGTTGCAATGTGGAGGTTGCTAGGGAAGCAACTTTTCAGTTAATACCCTTGTGAGCTAATACCTTTGTGATGGATAGATTTTTTTCTGTAATAGAGAATTTGCAGAATAGTTTTGTTTAGAAATGTTGTATTGTGCTTTCTAGGACCTAGAATGTAGAGTTCTCTATCCCCTGCTGTTCTGTCCTTTCATCCTTTCATTTATTTAGAATTTCCAAAGACTGCATAGGCTCCGTGGATCTTTTTTGAATCTGCTGATTTTTCTGTGAAGCTGATGTCATGGTCTGGACCTTTACTCTTACATATGCTAATTATTAGATTACATTTGGCTGTTGAGGCTTCCTTAGAGGGGGCTGAAGAAAGTGGATTGTTTATCAGCTGTCTGCTTTGTCTTAGACTTGGTGATACTTCAGTGAGAGCCTATATATGGTGGAGCAACTGGAGGTTCTTCTCTCTGTTAATTAGGCATTTGGTTAGTCTGTCTTGGGGAATTCTGGTTAGAAGTACACCTTGGGGAACCTGACTCCTCACTCCAGCTGGAGGTGATAAAGATCAGGGTGGGGTTATGCTGCTCCAGGTTGGCTTTAGGGGGGCAAAGCATGGCATTGTAAATAGAATTACATTCAGACTTGGCTCCACAAATACCTGCTCTCCCACTCTGGCTTCAGATTACCGGTGGAGGTGAATTGTTGAGTCTGAAAACTTTTCTCTGTTTAATTTTGGGCATGGGAGTAGTGCAGCTGAAAGATAAATAATGTTTGGGTGGTTTCATTTGTTCGAAAGAAGAGTCACTTGTTTTCTCAGAACTGCTGAGATTAGTGATGTGATTTAGAACCTAGAAGTTTTTCACATGTTTGTATTGTAACTGATTTTAAAGTAAAAGCATCTGCCAAAATTGAATAATTAATGTCCATAAGTTTGTAAACTCAATTTCTTGTTTATTTGCTTTTATTCCATGGACAGTTATTGTAAGGAAGCAAGCTAAATACTTCACGGAGAGAAAGGGACATTTAATTTTGCTAATTACAGACACAAATGTATGATGTGCAGATTCTTTCACTTAGAAATTCATTGTTGGAAGTTATTTCCTTATTGTTATTTTGATAAAAAATAATTGTACCCCTTTTAGCCTGTTAGATAAAATTAAACCAAGAAACTCCGTGGAATGCCTGGGAACAACACCCAACTTGCCAGCACAACAGCTGCAAGGCCAGGGCACACACCAAACACGGCTGATGCAGATCCCATTTCTAGAAAGAAAACATCAGCACGTGTGTGACAGTGTCAAGATATGTGTGCATAACATAAATATTGCTCTCTAGTTAAAATAAGTCGTCGTTTCATTCTTCGTGACACCAGTGTTGTTGCAAAAGCAAACTGAAGGGAAATCTACATGGTATCCTGAGAAAGACTAAAGGGAACTATTTTTAGGGTAGCATTGTGGAAAGACTTTTCCTGTTGAAGGCTTTGGAATTTGAGAGGCTGGATAAAGTAAGTTTGTTAAAACTAGGACTTTAAATGTAAATATTTTATTTCATAATCCCTTCTTTTAGCACAGCCACTTCACCATATCCTTTCCTGTAGGAGCCCTTCTTCTTTGTATTGTGTCCTGTTATTGAAGTTTCAGACTGTCCAGCCACTGATCTGCTATGTCTCTCCTATAGATTGTTCTCCATTTGTCCTTCTCTTCTGGTTTGCTCTGATGACTGCATTTAAATAATTCTAGTGCTTGTTAACATTTATCTCTGAGAGAGACAGACAGGAGATGAAGATAGAAATTTAAAACCAAATGTATCCATTTTGATTCTTAATAGTTACTCTGGTGGAAAAAATAACTTTTTAGAGATTGAAACCAGTGTTGTGGACAGATTTGTATGTTAATCTTGCCTCCTGCAGTAGTTTATAAATGTCCTGGATGGAGTCAGGGCTCATGCCTTAGGTATTTCTCATTGCCTACCATGGGGCCTTGCTGCTTGGTAACTTCTTAATGCTTAAATGAAAGAATGAACATGGGTTATCAGAATTTTCATTGTGTTGATGGCTTTTATGTTCTTTATGAGAAAGTTTTTGTTGATCACTTACAGATGGCTCACCTCTGTAATGAATATAAATATGTGTTTGTACTCTTGGAATTTGTCTGATAATGGAGATAAATATTCACAAATTACAGAAAAGACCAATTTTTAAAATGAGTTTTATGGTAGAAGAGGATTTAGACATGTATTTTATAAGGAGAAGAAAACATTAAATGGACGCTCAGGGGTAAGAGTATAAATATAGGAGACAGTCGAGCAGCTAACTCCTCTATCTAAATCCTGTGCTGGCTCCTTGCCTCCTGGCAGCCTGGCCACTTTCCACGTGTAGCTGAGGCCAGAGACAACGTGTCACATAGTGATATGGACAAGAGACAGGAAACAGGGAAATACTGGGTAGAAGAGGGCAGTTCTCCAACAAAGGCCCCACCCCCAAGCCTGGAAATCCACGGCCCTAAGTGGGAACAGGCATTCCCGTTTTCATGCCCAAATGTTGTCTTTTGGCCCACTACGCCCCCCCGTCCTGTACCCATATAAACCCCAAACCCCAGGCTCCATGAGCAGACGGGCAGATGAACAGAAGAGAGAAGGGCAGCAGAACAGTGCAGCAGAGAAGGAGAGACGAGGAGGAGCATCTGAATATCCAGAGAAGTTCGACTAGGGACAGTTGGGGAGGAGATCAGCCACTGGATGGCCAAACTCCAGGGGAAGATGATCCTCCCACTCTACCTCCTCTCCAGCTCCTCATCCATCCTGCTGAGAGCCACCTCCACCACTCGGTAAAACCCCTGAATTCACCATCCTTCAAGTCTGTGTGTGACCTGATGCTTCCTGGACTCCAGACAAGAACCCGAGTACCAAGAGGGCACTGAGCTGGTTAACACTTAGGCCGTCTGCAGATGGCAGAGCTAAAAGCATGCCCACTGGGGCTTTGGGAGTCGCAGGCACCCACCCCTAGATGCAGCTGTGTGGCTGGAGCCCAAAAGATCTCCCCCTGGTTCCTGCACCTGCCTGTGTGCATGCTCCCCCTCCATAAGGGGTGCCACCCCCCGTTGTACATTCAGTGAAGGGGGTCAGGGAAGTCTTCTGTTTCAATTGTAGTGGCCATTTTATGGTGTTAAAATACAGGAATCTGCTTTTTTATTTCATGAATGTTATTTCTTTCTCTTATACTATATTTGCTAGATATAATCCATTCACTTAAGCATTCTTTGATTCAACAGATACTTATTGGCTGTGTGTGGTGGTTCATGCCCATAATCCCAACATTTTGGAAGGCTGAGGTGGAAGGATCACTTGAGCCCAGGAGTTCAAGACCAACCTGGGCAACAGAGCAAGACCCCAGCTCTACAAAAAATACAAAATTAACCCGATGTGATGGCATATGCCTGTAGTCCTAGCTGCTTGGGAGGCTGAGGCAGAAGGATCCCTTGAGCCTCAGCTATGATTGCACCACTGTGCTCCAGCCAACCCTTTCTCTGAAAAAGAAACAAGCAGAAAACGAATATTTACTAATTACTTAGTCTGTGTCAGGCAAGTTACCAGTTCCATAAGTCAGTGAGAGCTACCAATCTCCTGATTTCAACCTTTTACCTAAGAATTAAGAAAATTCTGTAATGCCAGGTAAAGGCAGTATATAAGCATATTGTTATCAGTATTAATAAAAGGTGATATTTAATCACCGGTTGCTCTTTGTGAGGCACTGGACACTAAATATTTGATATAAATCTAACCCTCTCTGGCTTAAAAACTTACTATTCTCAGCCGGGTGTGGTGGCTCACGCCTGTAATCCCAGCACTTTGGGAGGCCGAGGTGGGTGGATCGCCTGAGGTCAGGAATTCGAGACCAGCCTGGCCAACATGGTGAAACCCTGTCTCTACTAAAAATACAAAAATTAGCCAGGCGTGGGGGCGGGCGCCTGTAATCTCAGCTACTTAGGAGGCTGAGGCAGGAGAATCGCTTAAACCCAGGAGGCAGAGGTTGCAGTGAGCCGAGATCGCACCATTGCACTCCAGCCTGGGGTACAAGAGCGAGACTTCTTCTCATGGGGAAAATAAATAAATAAAAAATAACCTTATTGTTCTCATGGAAAAGTTAAAATTCCTTGGCCTGGCTTTTAAGGCTCAACTCATCAGCTAAACTATCACTCCGGCTGTAGCTTTTTAAAAGGCTTTTACAGTTCACAGGAATCTGAATCATTTGCTCCAGCGCAACCCTTCCGCCCTCCTGCTCTCTGGGGCTGTGGGCAGCCTGGAGCGCTCTGTCTGCGGAGGCTGGAGGGTCTTTCCAGGCCTTCTTCTCACCTCCCCCACTGGGGCCTCTCTCCTTCCTGGAAATTCCCACCGCTCTTCTTGGGAGTACTACTGCTTTGTCAGTTTGACATATTGTCCTTCATTTTTTAAAAATTTTTCAAATTCTCGTGGCTCATCCTCAGTTAGCTTGTTGTTAAACTAGTTTGTTATTAGGCCTCCCCAGTGAGCATGGAGCAGTAAATCTGCTGGCAGCCAATGTTCCTTAGATACTGGATGTTGAAGTTGTGAGGGCTCCTCTCTTAGGTAGTATTTCAGGTCTACCCCTTTTCTCTTACAGATGGAGAAAGAGCTGGTTCTGGGTCATATAATAAAAACAACTGATTTTAGGGGGACATGACAGAAGGGACTACACCAGTGTTTTGTGGTTTTTGTTTTTTGGTTTTGGAGTGCCTATTAGGTCCCAAACACATGCATTCTGCTATCTCATCTAATCTTCCCACCAGCCCTACTGTTTGCTTCATTAACTCTTTACAGATGAGAAAACAGACATAGAAACGCACGGTAGTTTGTCTGGGGCCACCTAGGAGTTAATAGGTGGTGGTAGGAGGATTCCCATTCGGGCTTGATTTTTTTCCAGTCTTTGCTGTTTTCCCTCCTGGTTGGTCTTTACCTGTCTCCTCACTCCCAGTCCACTGTTTCTGTTTCATTGTCCTCAATGGCACTCTGCTTTAAGCCAGAACCTAGTGAGTTGACTTAGCAATACCTCTTCCATGTTGCTCTTCCCCCTTTTTTCCATTTAAAATATTCTTGAATATTTTAATAGTCATGACTATTTTAAATAACAGTTTGGAAAGAGGACTTTAGTGTCTCTGTCTGTTTTAGCCCACGCACCTCTCACGTTTTCTCAATGAAATGCATCACCTCCCGAGGGGAGAAGAGTTGCCAGCCTTGGTTCTGTTGTCTGCATTAAGAAGACAGTAGTGTTGGATACCTTTAAGTGAGATTAAACGTTGCTGCTACTGCTGCTGCTGCTAATTTTGATCATAGTAGCAAAAACAGCCACAATTATTAATGCTCCAAAAGGCAGAATCAGCTGTTTTTCCAAATGTTCTTCTGATTTGTGTAATGGTGTTTAACTGCTTTTCTGGTTGAAAATATTGCTGCTGTCAGGATTATTTCTTATATAAATGAAGGTGGCTGCACAGACTCTTGTGGTTGGCAATCCTGTTTGCTTATGTTTAAGCTATCCTTGTATTGAAATTTCTGTATTGGTTTGAAAATAGATAGTAATTAAGTCTGACTTGCGGTGGGTGGCTGGATAAGAACGTTCATATTTAAAATACTGAGAAATGCAAATATTTGACTTGATATAATGCAGCCATACATCCTGCCCTAGATCTTGATTACTTAAACCTTCTGTTGAGCTTTTAGACAGATGGTCTTTTGAGTAATGAACACTCTCCTTTGAATATAGCAAGATGCCATTTGGTAAACTAATGAAGTAGCATTGTTAATAAGTATTTCATGCAGCAACCACAACAAAAATCTGAAATGGATGTGGGTAGTTACAGTTTAGAAAAATTCTGAGTTCTGTCTTATAGATAGTTAAGTGTGTAATCCCTCTTCAGGCATTTGATCAGCTATTCTCTATTTCTGCACAGAAATGAAAAAGAAATTCACTGTCACAGTTATCACCATCACACTGTATGTATTAAGAGTCTCTGCCCGTGGGTGACCAGGCTTCAGAATGATTGTAGAGCACCATTCTTTTTCCCTGCTGGTTATTATAATCTAAGGCAGCGGTGGTATAGTCAATTAGCAACATAAACAAAACAAAAATGATGAAGAAAAATAATATTGACCAGTGAGTTTTATGTCAAAACTTGAAATGTAAGTTGGATCAGCAGATTTTTCAGTTTCAGAAAAAGCTTAGTTTTTCCTCCCTTATTTGTGCCTCAGATTCCTCTCCTCAATCCTCCCTCCCCCAGTTTTAGGTGAATGGTGGTACCCTGCCTCACTTATTTACAATCATTAGGGAAAAAGTGTCCCACTTAACGGAAATTTCCCACATAATAGGAGCTCCCATCAACATCAGATAACATGCTGATTTCAGTCATTTTACATGTTAACAATTCTTGAGAGTTTTCTTATACTACCTGGCTTCTTCTCTACCAACTGCTTACACTCTAAAGTGGTCAGCTTTAATTCTATATACCTTTTCTACAACCTTGAGGATTTGGCTTTCAGATCTCCTCTTTGGGATTAATTAGAGAAAACCACTGGGAAGAGTGACAGGCAGGTTGAAAAGGATGATAGTGTAAGGCTAGGAACATCTGCTGTCGAGTCCTAAGAGGAAGAAAGGTGGCTGGTCAAGGAGGAAGGTTCTGTGTCAGCTAAAAGGAGGGTGCTGGGAGGTCGTCCAGGCAGGCTGGAAGTGAGGGCAGTGGAGTGGGGACTTTTCTGGCTGCTCCTGTCACCTCTGGTTGGGGGAGGCCTCACTTGGGTTGTGTGGAGGACAGGGTGCTGGTGGCACAGACCCAGCATGAAAGCTCCATGTCCCTTTTGGTGTGCAAATCCTGACCAGTAAGGGGAAGCTCCTCCTCCTTCTGTTTCCCAGGTTATTTCTTGCAGAATCCCCTTTTTCAGTGTTATTCAAGCCTCTGGCTATACACCAGCCCCTTGGGCTTTCCAGAAGCTTCTGCTCCTCCCTGCACAGCTGGCCTTGGCCTTTCCACTTCTGTACCTCATCTGCCACTTGCTTTCCTCCCTTGTCCTTGCACGGATCCTGCTCGCTCTCCCTTCATGTCTTTGCGTAGGCTGCGTCCCCTGCCTGGATCCATGCCATCCTTCTGTGATGTGTTCTGTCCTGTCCTCACAGTTGATCTGGGCCCCCTCTGTTCAGGGGAGCTCCGTTCCTGTTGGAGTGTGGGGTTTACACTACCTCCAAGACTGTGGGAGGCCTTGCCGTGTCCCTCTTTTCACTACTCCTGCAGTGCTGGGCTTGTTATCTGCCTTCAGGTAGGGGCGTTAGTATATATTTATTGAAAGAGTAAATGAATGAAGTATATTGATTGAATTTATTAGTACATATTTATTGAAAGAGTAAATGAATAAAGTATATTGAACTTACCATTGTTTGAGGTTGTAAAACAAATATTTTGTCTTCCATGAGTCTAAGTATTGTGGGAAGGTAGATACCAAACAATAAAGATACTCTGGGTTTCACACTAATTATGAATTGAGACAAGTATGTACAGAGGTTGGAAGCAAATGGAGGTGGCGAATGAGGTTGTTTATAGTCTGAGAATATCCCCTAGGGAGTCAGGGTGGCTCTTCAGCTGTGTTTGCTTATCATACCAAGCCTGCATCTTGGGAGCTGCAGAAGAAAGCCATACAGTTCTCGAATCTGTGCTTTATAGAATCCATTAGAACCCTTGGAGATTTGGGCTCTGCCTCCAGCATGTTCATGATTACTGTAGTCATCATACTAGTGTTTATTTTTCTTTTACTCAAGTAATTACTCTGTAGAAGAGCCTGTCTGTAAAAAGTGGATTATGTAATTATTTCTCCAGAAAATTGGCTTTCTACTTGTTCTTGGGATTAGCATTTGAGAAGACTGTGAATCACATTTTGGGACAGCCAGTTGTGTGTCAGGCCACAGTGTGTGCTGTTGTGTATCAGGAGGCCACCTTTGCACAGCACAGATGTTGAAGCTGCCACTGAGAACAGTCTCTTGCACCTTTGTCACTGCATTCACAGTCAGCCACACTCTGCAGGTTAGGGATCTTTACCAGATGTTTATTATTCTGAAGAAAACTGCTTAAAGCTTGAGGGATTTGGAAATGAGATATGATTTGGAAATGAGAGGGCTTTGGAAGTGAGATAACGTTG